>NC_000006.12:95676850-95828365 GCF_000001405.40 Homo sapiens
GATATCATTTGATATCATATGATATCTTGAAGAGTTACAATTTCTGTATTATGAGGATAGCACTCAGATTCATTACTTTTCTACATGTCATGCTGTCATTATGACATGACAAAAAATGAAATTTTAGAAAACAAAAAATCGTCATCAGACAAGCTAGTGAATAAAATTCAGTTTCTTTTCTATAGCCATAGCTTTTAGCCTGTGATTTGTTTCTAAGTATGAATAATAATAGTGGCCCTAGGATTGCTGTAAAGGAGTACTATCATTTTACAAAATAATATACCCAAAATAATTCAGATTACTGGAATAGATTAGGGACTCTGTGAATATAATAGATCGTGATTAAATTTTCATTTGTTAGAAAATTGAAAGAGCACAAAGATAAGTCTGGTTCATCTTCACATAATATGCTTGGCTAATCTTAGGAGAGCACATTAGACAACAAGAAGCATTCAGAACACTCAGATCTTCTCAAACTTTGTAATCCCTGCATGCAGTGCTGTTCAAAATTGGATTTCTTTGGAATTGTTCTATTCTATTTATGTCAAAACAGGTAATATTTTTCTGGTCCACTAAACTAAACCTCATTTCAACTTTGATGGATATAAAATAGCTCCTTTTATCCACAAAGGATATAGCATATAGTGATTATGATTTGCCCTCAAAGAAGCTTATTTTATTCGTACTGTGGAATGAATACATCTACTCTGCAAGGTTATGGCATGAAAATCTCACTTAGACTCTCTTCTTACCTATACTAAGGAGGATTATTAACAGAAATACTAATAAGTGCAATTACCTGGACTGATAATTGTGAACAATGAGAAATGAGAGAAAGAGAAAAATAAAAAAAAAAAAGCCGTACGTTTGCTCAGTGTTGATGTTATTTGCTTTATCAGGATATACACAAAAGATGAAAGAAGGGATATAAGAAGGCAAGAATAAATTTATGGCAGTGGCAAAATGTAAGACTATGCCAGTTATAATAGCAAATGTTTATTGAGTCTCTGTTGTGTTCCAATTACTATTCTAAGTACCTTATATACATTATTTAATTTAACCTGCACAACAACTCTATGGAAGCTACTGTTATTTTTCTTGCTTTATAGACAAGGAAGCTGAAGCACAGAGAGATTCCATACCTTTCTTACAAACCCCCAGTTAGTAAGTGGGGAAGTCATGTTTGTATGAACAATGTAGTTTTGCCCTACAGCCCAACGTGGCAGCATGAGGAGTGCCACTTGGATCTCTCTTTAAGAAAGATTTGCTCTTTGGCTGCAAAGAGTGAAGTTGGCTGATGGTGTCTAACTCCAACATCTAACTTCTGAATCAAGACTGAGCTCTTTTTGGACTTCCCCAGCCAACGATGAGTGTGGCAGAGGTACCAGAGTCAGGCTGTCCATTGTGGGTCTTCTCTAATGAGCAACTTCGCTTCAAAGCCCCTTTGCCAGAAGAGACTTTGACAGATCTGTATCTTAGTCTAAGACGTTCCTTTTCTTTTTCTTTTTTTTCTGGCTCTGAAGGCTTCTTTTGCATGTCTCCTCTGCACTTTGCTCTGCCGCCATGCCAATAAATTCCTTGCACCTAACTCTATCTCAACAACTGCTTCTCAGAGAGTAGAGACATGATCAGTCCAGACACATGATCATTACTCCCCAAAAGCATAGTATAAACTGAACTTGTGACTTCTTGGTGAAATTAAGAATGTTTACGTATAGTATGTGCCAAACATTGTGCTAAAGCTTTATATTTACACTGGGTGCAGTGGCTCACGCCTGTAATCCCAGCATTTTGGGTGGCCGACATGGGTGGATCACCTGAGGTCAGGAGTTCAAGACCAGCCTGGCTAACATGGCGAAGCCCTGTCTCTACTAAAAACACAAAAATTAGCCAGGTATGGTGGTGTGTGCCTGTAATCCCAGCTACTCAGGAGGCTGAGGCACGAGAATCACTTTAACCTGGGAGGCGTAGGTTGCAGAAAGCCAAGATCGTGCCACTGCACTCCAGCCTGGGTGACAGAGCAAGGATCTGTCTCAAATAATAATAATAATAATAATAGCTTTATATTTACATTATGTGACCCTTTAGTTCTTATTACAAATTTGTGTTATACATTATCTTTTCTTAGAATTACAAACGAAGAAAAGACAGCTTCTAGAAAGTAAGAAATTTGCAGAAACTGATGAATAAAACAATATTATGATTCACACCTATGTCTTCTTGATGCCACAAAACCAACCTATTTCTGTAGAAGACAATTAATACATAGCTTTCTAAAGATACTTATAAAGAGGTAAGAAGAAACGAGCAGACATATTGTTTGGTGAAAATGGTATTATTAGTACAAATGATAGAAGGAAGAATAACCAATGCATCTTTTCTAGAGTAAAGAAAATTATCCCCAAACTAAAAAATGTTAAACAATGTAAAGAAGATGTTGCTGCCTGAGATAGTACGTGAAAGTGGTATGAAGTAGTCCCTAGTTACTTCACATTAATCCAAGTTTCCAGATTCTGAAGAATTATATTCTAGGAAACCGAAGAAGTGTACAAATGTGATCCCAGAGTCACCACCAGAACTATTTTAATTATTCAGGAAGGAAGAAATGTGGGATGCTCAGAAGTAAACAAAAGTCTCAATTTTCAAAAAGAATAAATTTATGGCTACATTAGATATTGACCTCTGGGGGAAAAGTTATAGAATGGATATCAAATAGATTTGTCTTGTATTTTAAATTTTTTTGTAAAGTCTAAATGAAAAGATTAAGAGAAATAAATGGAATACTATAAAATGGCCAGAAATATGCTATTACATATGTTTATATCTATATATACAGATACATTAAGAGATAAATTCCTTTTTCTTCACAAATTGTTTTATAATTTTTCAAAATCTGCAAAGTGAATGGTATAGCCTAGAGTCACTGTAGTCTGCATATTAGCAAGAAGTCACACAGGTAGGGTTTCTTGCTACAATTTTTATTGCTTCCCTGGGTTCTTTCTGACAATTCAGAAGTTAGAAGACTTTGGGAGACCGGTAATGGGACTTACATTGAATCAAACTCAAAATCCAAAGACCCAGTTATATTCAACTATATAAAGAAAAAGTGGCTAGTTAAATTATATTTTTCTTTAGTTGTCAAGTTTTCAAAATGGTTAGGTGAATCAGATTTTTGTTTTCTTTTTTGTTTGTTTGTTTAAAGTCTATAGGGAAATGAGACTTAACGATTTCTGAGTTTAAATTCCCAGCGGTCTTTCTAACTAGTACAGTGAAAAGTTATTTGAGTTTTCTGTAACTGAAATTTTCTTATCTGAAAATCTAAGTTATGCAATTTTCTTATCTGAAAATCTATGTTATGAGTATCTATGGTTACCTGGAGCTGGAAACTTCTCTGCATATATGTATGGAGTCTATTGATGTGTACAATACCGGTGGAGGGAGTTGAGATAGCCATGAGCAGAAGGTGACAGAAATACTGAGAGAAGAAAGCCAAACACAAAAGAATATAGAGTTAGAACTCTATATAAAGTACATAAACAGATAAAACTGGGTTGCTGCTAGCAAATATTTCACCTTTCTGTAAACATCCAGAAAAGCTGATGAAGCTCTGAGCCAGAGCAGATGACTTGGTTGTTAGAAAGGGCTGAGTTTCAGATTTTTCTGGTGCTCCTCACTGTCTATCCTTATGCAGGGTACACCCATCGGTGGAAGTTCTGCATTCTCTTCCAACTATCTTCCTATAAGAAACTAGCCTGTGAGAAGGAACACTGTTTCCCTTGCCTTACAGATATCATCAATGTCTCCTCTTTCACTTCTCCCACATTGTCTTCTTAATGCCAAGTAGATATTTCAAATTCACACACACACACACACAAATGATCAACACATATCAGTGAGAATTTGTGATGGCACAGTGCAACCTGACAGCTGTCATCCCCAAAAGCAGGATGCTATAGGTGGAGGAAGAGAGAATAAATCACAGGGACCCTGGATCTTAGGAGCAAAAAGAGCAGATCACCAGAATGAAAGAATAATAAACAAAAGCAGCCTGGGTGTGGTGGCTCACATCTGTAATCCCAGCACTTTGGGAGGCCAAGGTGGGTGGATCATTTGAGGTCAGGAGCTCGAAATCAGCCTGGTCAACATGGTGAAACCCCACCTCTACTAAAAATACCAAAATTAGCTGGGCATGGTGGCAGGTGCCTGTAGTCCCAGCTACTCGGGAGGCTGAGGTAGGAGAATCACTTGAACCCAGGAGGCAGAGGTTTCAGGGAGCCGAAATCGCACCACTGCACTCCAGCCTGGGCAACAGAGCAAGACTCCATCTCAAAAAACAAAACCAAAAAAAATAATAAAAAAGGTAAATACATCACAGAAATTTAGGATTATGATGTTTACATCAACCTTCTTTCTGACTGATTTATAAAGAGAATTCAGCAATCAACCTAGAGAATAATACATGCAGAACAAAGAGCCTGTGGAGTGAAAATTATTAAATATGGACAAATTTCACCTTTTTAACAATGAGTAAGTACAGAAAAAAGAACATGGAGATTTGAAAAAGTTTAAGTAACTTTTTGAAAAATAAGTAGATTATAAAAATATATGGCCACTACAAAAGAGGAATAGAATAGGATGAAGAAGAAACAAATTAGTTAAGTCTGAAAGTAGATAAGAAAAAAGACAATCCACAAGGAAATTAAAACCACCAGATCCACCTTAGTGATAGTAAGAGTAAAATCAATGTCACAGAATGCTGGATCAGGAAAATAAAGGATACAATTTACCAGCTTTTCATGTATGCAGGAAAAAAGAGCAAAGTAATGAATGTGCTAAGAGAAGAAGATAAAACAAGAGGACAAACAACAGTAAGATAGATGATACTGTAGCAATTTTATTATTGTTTACAACCATTTGCTTCCATTTGCCTTGTAAGAAGATCATACATTTCTGCCACTGCAAGGTAACTTACAATGTAGAACCCACTTTGTATTTTTAAGCCTGGTCAGATGATTACTTGGGACAGGGTGTTCCTGGAACCAAGCTGGTTCCAGCTGAAGGAGAAGCAGACAAACTAGGAAAGAAGGGAATTTATTGCTGTAACCGGATACAGGGAGAAGGCCGGAGATCATTCCACCAGACCAACTCAAAGTGTTACAATTTTCTTAGTGCTTATATAGGTTGGGGTTATGTGCCTAAGTGCAGTATAGCATGCACCTAAGTCTATTGGTAACTAATTTTGTTTCAGCTAGAAGGTCAGAGGCAAACAGTGCTTGCTAAGTCTGATTAAATGGGCCCCAGGACCTTCAAGGCCTGTCTACTGTGATACTGGAGTGATTGTTTCTATCTTATCTCCTTTACAGCTTGGTCTGGAGAGCTGCCTTAGACTCTCCAATGAATCTATTCAAACAGCTGCCTCTGTTACCTTGACTCGTCTCATATTCTGTTGACCCGAGATGGGTTCTGGCACTAGGAATATGACTATCTCTATTATTTTGGCTTGCTCCCCAGGTTAGGGAGAAGCCCATGCAAGGCTCCTACTGACCATATGTTTCATTTTTAACTTTGATGTCCAGGCACTGATTTCCCTAGGTTTAATTATTTGCTCAATGTTAGGGCAGTTCTGTGGAAATCTGTCTGTGCAACTGAAGTGCTATGCAGGCCTGTCGGTGAGACTGTCATGCAGGCTTGTCTGTGTGATTGTCAGGGAGAATTGACCTACCATAAAGGAAACATGGTATTTTACTTCCAAGAGGAATTGCTAAGAGGCATTGCATATTTCTATCATCTTTCTTGCTTTTCTTTCTGCCACAAGAATGACATAGTCTAAAAAGCAGCTGCTCTGACAGCTTGGATTGCAGAATGAGGAAATATATAAAGGAGAACATAAGTGACATACAGCATAAGCAAAATATAAATGTTTGTTGTGTAAGTTACTGAGACTGGGAACCATTTTTTTTTTTTTGCTACAGCAAAGTCAACACAAAAATAAATGTTATTTGGAAGGATGATACAGAATGACTTCAACAGGAAACATAGGCAAGGATAAAATAGACTTCCTCCAGAAAGAAATGGGCATGTAAATAAATACATATAGTTTCCCAAATGAATGCAACTAGAATTGGTGTTAACTTCTCTTCCACAGAACTGTGTGCAAGACAAGGCACAATCTATGGAATTTTGAGAAAATTGGGTGGTGACATTATATATGGCTAAGGCATTTATGTGAGCCTTCTGAAAAGCATTCTAAGGTTTGTGTACATTAAGAAAATGTTAATGGTACTTCTCAAGCTTTTTTATTGCAAGTGTCATAAACACTACTTGGTCTCGAAAAAATAACATTTACTGATTCTCACAATTTCAGACTATTGATGAATGCACTTACAGAAAGAGCAAGGACACGTGATGCAGAAGCAACTGGAATCCAGGAACAGAACTCCTCCAGGTGTCTCCATTCCTTTCTGCGTCTCTCCATGTGTCGTCTTTTCAATGCAGAGAAAGTTGCATATTATTATGCATAAGAAATTTACAGCTTACAAAGCCTTGCAAGAACTCTTGAGACCAGTTGGGAAAGACAGAGAAAGAGAGAGAGAAAAAATTGACTTCTGCTTAAATCGTGTTAAAAAAACAAAATGTAAAACTTAAAACATTTCCAAAGAAGTTCTCCACCAGTTAAATGAGGTAATAATATCTAGGTTAAAAATTCCAAATCATATCATTAAAGGTAGAGACTAAGATTTGAGACAGGCACTTGTGATAAAAGTGTACTAAACTCCTTGAATAAGTTGGGCAAAGTACAGGAAGTAGACAAAAAAAATAATTAATAGAAAATAAGTTTTGAAAATTGTACCTTTTATTACATTATTATTAATTGACAAATAGTGAAAATATGCTAAGCAACTGACTCAGGAAAAAGAATAATAACCTACGCTAATATTATGAAATTAAGACTTATTAAAATAAAATCAGCAATAAATAAGATAAAAATGTAATAGATAAATTAAATATTTGATTTTCTTGAAAAAGAAGATGTGGACAAACTTCTGGGAAACAGAAGTAAAAATACACAGGATTAACTGAAAAAAACAATTAGAGATGGCTGAGAACATTTGAAAATTAGAGAATAACATTCAATTTTCTATAAATACATTTAAAATTTTCTTAAAAGTAGATATTTTTCTACCAAAATACAAATTATGAAGACTAATTTAAACAGATGTAGAGAATCCAAAATGGACCAATGGTGAAGGAAGAAATGAAAAAAAAGACAAAATATTGTCAAGAACCCACACCCACACAAAACTAATCTTATGTTCTTATAGAATATACAAAAGGTGGAGCTCATTTTTATGTAGGCAGTACAATAAAATATGAAACCTAAAAAATATACTCTTGCATAACTCCTCAAAAGAATTCTAGGATAATAGATTTTAAATCTAAGTAGTAAAACTTAAGAAAACAAATGAGTACTCATTCAATATTAAGGCAGAATGGATTTTGTAAACTTGAGCTAATCAGATGAAACTGTGGAGCGTAGTCTGCTTTTACTATGTAAATAGGAAAAAAATGAATAACGTTGCAAAGTAAATAACCTATGGCAAACACTTTGTAATTTGATAGAAAACATTATTTTCTCAGCATCTAAAATATTCTGGCAGATTAATCACAAAACATGAATACCTGAATTTAAAATGAAAATTTAGACCAGTATATGAATGGGAGATTCACAACAGAAAATTTATAAATAACTGATAAAACCTTGTAGATATATTCAATGTTTTTTGTATTAAAAAAATGGAAATTAAAGATAAATTGAAATACCATATTTTTATTTGTAAATTTGGCAAAAGCTCTAATATCCAGGGTTGGAGAAAATACTTACAATGTGGTTTCACACACAGTCTTGTCAAGAGCATAAATTTGTACAATTTTTCTAGAAAGAAATTTTATAATTTGTGTAGGAAACCATGAAACCCTGCGAGAATTTGTATTATAAATAATACTTTCAGGAATTTATCCTAAAGACACAATCGAGGGTGAACATTAAGCTTTATATAAAAATACTTTCCTAAAAAATTATTTAAAATAATGATGATAATAACTGGAACAAACCAGAATGTACATTGAGAGATGACTGGTTAATTTATGAAACACCATGTGATAAAATATGGTTTAGTCAATAATGTTAATAATAAAATAAATATTTATTTACATGGAAAGATATATATTTTAACTATAAAATATTTTTGACAGAGTAGAATGCTATTCTGTATATTTAAAAATGAAAATTTTTATAACAAATAATAGCCGCTCCTAACTGCGATAAGTAACTTTGCAGACTTTTGTATGCATATTCATGTAACATTAACAGATAATAGTTATTCCACACACAAAGACTATTTTGATGTAAGCAAAGAATTGGCTTTTTAAAAATTGTGTACATAAAAATGTAGTCTGGATAATAAACTTTGACATGAATTCACAGTTGTTTGAACAATTGCATCCAAGAAGTGTTGAATCAAACCTCTGTGTCATCCTAATAGATTAAGTCCTTGTCTTGTCCTCTTCAACAATTTTATCACTGTCTTATAACAAATTATTGTAGGTATGACAGATGACACAAAATTGTAGAGTACAGAATGTCAGAAAACAAGGAGTAGTAGGGTTTGCATAAAAGTGGAGTGTATGACCTTTCTGGACATATTCTAATTCAGTATTTTTTTTCTTTTATACACTATGTAGGCCAAACCAAAACCAGCTTGTCGATTAAAACTTTATGACCATGATAGGGGAATGTTTAAGTTTATTTTGTCAGCAGTTACACTGTTCTATACATTGCACAGATAATAATGTATTTAATCTTTACAATGGGGCTCTGAGACAGGTGTTATTACAGTCTCTTTTAGAGATAAGAAATCTGAGGCACAGAGAGATTGATTAATTTGTCTAAGTTTACACAGCTAGTGAATGGTGAAGCAGAGATTAGAACCCAGTGTCTGTCTCCATAGCTAGTGCTCTTAGACACTATGCTGCCCTGCTTTGAGCCCTGTGCAAGTTGATGCAGAAGTGAGTGAAGCACTGCCTCTCACCTCAGGTCAAACAGGAGAATCAGGCACGTGATAATTGACAAATACCATGCAATGTTGAGTGGATTATAATGGAGATGCGAAAGGCATGTTTGTAGCAGAGAAGGCTGGAGTCAGCTCTTCCTCCTGGAGGCTAGTTTGTTATGTGCGGTTCTATTCTTATGCAAAGCCTCTCCTTCCAGCTATTCAGCCCCTCATGTGCATGGACTTCCTTTAGGTTCACTGATCTGTGTACAGACACTCTCAGGTATGCATTAATTTCAGCCACAAAGAGCTTGGGCTCTAAGAAGAGAGGAAGATATTAGAGGAGTGTCCTCACTACGTATGTATCTTTCTATCACACTTTCCACTACCAAGTGATATATTCTTTAAATGTCTCATTCGGTTTTTCAGTCTTTTATACAATTCTGAATCTAGTTGTCCTTGAGAACAAGTGATGTGTCATGGAAAGAGAAATGGCTATGCGTTTACTTGGGCCTAAACTAGAATCCCTGCTTTGTGAGGGACAAGTTGTGTTATCTTGTAGAAGGTATTTGATCACTCTAACACTCGGTTCCCCCCTGTGGTAAGTGGGTATAATAAAAACTACTACAAGGTAGGTAGATATTGAAAGAAATCTACTTTTCTTCCATCTTTGCAATAAAGTAATGAACTCACATATACACAGCTCAGAGTGAAAGGAAACCTAATAAAAGTATAAAAATAAACTTTGCAAGTATTCTTTATATAACCATGAATTAAAGCCCAAGATACATAAAAGATACATACAAAGATAACTATTATATTAAATTCCACCTTCTTTTCTAAGGAGAAGACCAGATTATCTTTTATTCTATCCCCAAGGCTGAGGAAGCAGCAGAGTTTCCAACCTAAAATCAAATTGATAACCGGTGGTTTCTAAAATAAACTATTCCCCCATATGCACTGGATTTCCCAGACTACGTAACCAGAAGAACTCTTGGGCTTTTGGCAATATACAGTTAAATCTATGCAAATAAGTGGTCATTTGTGAAAATGAATCTTCTCAAAACTCCTTTCCTAGCAGCTGGTCCTGGGAACAGAAGGCTGTGACAAGGCTGCGGGAAATGGAGCCACCAACTATTTTTAGCAGCTGTATTTTACTAATCTGGTTGTTTTTGCCATGTAAGACTGTGCAGTATTTCTAAGAGAAGGCACATCAGTACTAGCCTGGCATATGCCCAATTTGGGTAATTGCATTGTGTCATATTTCAGGTCTCCCTGGCACTTTCAATTAGCCATAATTTATATTCTTCACAGTTTATAGTTGAAACTGCCTTGTATTGCAGCTATGGGGTTACACAGAGACAGCAGCTAAATTAACAAACAACTGGTAAATTATTATTGTTTTTCACTTCTCTTTTGCCTTACTTTGCTATAGACTGCTAAAAGTTAGGGATCACTAGTTATATTTATAGGAAAGACCCGAGAATCTCCAGAGTCATATACTATCCACATCTATGAGGAGTTAGATTACAAATTTTAAAATAAATTCCTATATCTTAAGACTGAAATAAAGGAAATAACAAGTTATTTCTAAAAGAGAAAAATACCCTTAACATAAATAAGAGATATGATCTGCTTTTTTTCATTTTGTTAATGCTTAGTAAGTTTCATTTGTACCAAGTCCTGTCTCATATGTTGAGGCTCAATAATGAACCATAGATGATATTTTTCAGATGCTTAAAATGTACCAGTTCCTGTTTAACTTACTTAATATTTACAGAGCTTTATCACATAAGTAGGCCCTTCTTTCACCCCTATTTCACATATGAAAAACAGATGCAAAGTAACTGTAATAACTTTCCAGAGACAGCACAGTTATAATCAGGGCTTTAAACTTCAGCCATTTGATGCCACTAACTGTGCTCTCCACCACTTTGATCATCTCTCTTATGAACAGGGCAGTCCTAGGCTTTAAAATAACATAGAGGAAGAAGAACACTAAACAGCTAAATAAACAAACAAGAGAACTATCTACCAGAAATAGGACACAGGTGCTGTGCAGAAAGTCCAACTATTTGGGCAAGATAGAGTCAGGAGGTAGTTTCTTTACACTTGGTGATAAAGAAGGCTTCTGTGTTTAAGGTGGGAGATTTGGAACACAAAAGGGAGACAGCTAAGCAAATATAAAAGGAACAGTGTTCAAGGTAGAAGGCAGAACTGGTGCCAGGACCCTAAGTTGGGAAAAGACTTGACATGCTTGGGGAATCAAATGAGCCCAGAGTGGTTACAGGACAAAGGCTAGAGGGGAGAGAGTAAATTCTGGTTGGTAACATGAATAGGCACAAGATTATGAAGGGCTTCGGCATTGTCAGGTGTTTAGCTTTTGTTCATGGGGGCCATATTCTGATCTAAGTGTTCAACAATTTATTCTAAATGGAGAATCTATTTCAGGGATGGACAAGAGTGGAAGATAAGCAAGTCAAGGCCCATGGTGATGGATGACATATTTCAACTACAGCAAATTAGGAAATTATGAAAAAAAGAGAACAGATTTAAAATATGTTTTTGTTAACTTTGCTGATGAATGTTGAAAGGATGCAAGTGAGAAAAATAGAGGTTATTAAGTGAAAACCAGCAACTGGCATTATTCAGGTGAAACTTATGTCTCTATTTTGTCTAAGAGTTTCAGTGGTTTCTTCTAAGAATTCTTAGTTGTAACAACAAAAAAGATGATTAAATAAGGTTTAAATTTTACTTTTTAAATTTCATTACAAGTCAGTAGAACTTTAAAATAAATTGTAATATTTATTTTAAGACATGACTTAAGAACACCAACAGCTAATTTTAAGACATGACTTATGAACATTGTCAGTTTTATATAAATTATTTACTAATTTGTGTAATGTATGTTCATGATTTTGAAAAACTGCCTATAATTCTGTTCATTTTTGATCATTACTTCTTGTCACTGCAGAAAGAGCTGTTCAGAAAGGCATCTAGGGCATGTTATCATAGTGGAAAACACACAAAGTTAAATACAGATGAGATACTATTTTTAGCAACTAAATAAGAGAACAAATTACAGTGCTGAACTCACACCTCTAAATGGAAGATATTTTATTTGTTTTTAAAATAAAGTGTGAGACCATACATCATAGTTTTTCAACTGTGTGAATAAGACATATCTAAAATAACTTAAATTAGATCTGTTTAGCAGATAATTGCTTAAACAAGTATTTTGAAAAATCTTATTTTCATAAATATTTATGAGATTTAATATATTAATGCATTTTGATTACAAAAAAGTTTGAAAAGATTTTATGTTATGTTTTTCTTCCTTTTCTAATATGGGATTATTCCTCACAAGGTTTGTACTGGTAGCTGTGACAGAGTTTCTGTTGTAGACATTTTATCACACAATTTCCCAGATAAAAAACATGATATCAGAGGGATTTTGGTTAACTTGGGATGATGAAGAGTTGGCAAGAAGAAAGGAGATATAATTTTAGAGTGGTAGAGCACTTGAGATGATCTATGATAAACCTTACATTTAATAGCCCCCAGTTTCTCATAGGTTCCAAACTCACTGGAAGAGTTTCTATCTGGATATCCAGCAGACTAATCAAACTTGGCTAAAGTTACAAACAATTAATTTTTGTATTACCTACTGTGGTTGATAGAATCACCATAATCGTATTCTCCAAGCTCCTATGTTTAGAGTCTTCCTCAGCAACTTTATTATCCTCAGTCAGTCTTTCAATAAGACTGATTAAGTTTACTTTTCAAATACAGTTATGCCCCACATAATGACTTTCTGGTCAATGATGAACTGCATATATGACAGTAGTTCCATAAGATTATAATGAAGCTGAAAAGTTCCCATTGCCTAGTGACATTGCAGCTGTTGTAACATTGTAGGACAACACATTACTCATGTGTTTGTGGTAATGCTGGTCTATGACCTACTGCGCTGCCAGAGGTAGAAAAGAATAGCACATACAATTATGTCCAGTGAATAACACTTCATGATGATAACAAACTGGCTTATATTACTGTCTTATTTGCTTTCCTTTTTTATTATTTTAGAGTATACATCTATTTATTAAAAAAATAGTTAACTGTAAAACAGCCTGAGGCAGGTCCTTCTAGAAGTATTCCAGAAGAATGCATTGTTATTATAGGAGAGGAAAGCACCTTGTGTGTTATTGCCCCTGAAGACCTTCCAGTGAAACAAAATACGGAAGTGGTAGACAGTGATACTGATGATTCTGACCTTGTGTAGGCTTAGGCTAATATGTGTGTTTGTGCCTCTGTTTTTAACAAAAAAAGCATAAAAAAAAACAAAAGGTAAGAATTTAGAAATAGAAAAAATTTATAAAGATATAAAGCAAGAAAACATTTTTGTAGAGCTGTACAATGTGTTTGTTTAATCTAAGTGTTATTGCAAAAGAGTTAAAAGTTTAAAAAATATGAAAAATTATAAAGTAAAAAAGCAACAAGAACCTAAGGTTAATTTATTACTGAAGAAAAAAATACGTTTTAAATCTAGTGTAGCATAAGTATACAGTGTTTATAAAGTCTACAGTGGTGTGCAGTACTGTCCCAGGCCTTCACTTTCACTTTCTATTCGCTCACTGACTCACTCAAAGCAATATCGAGTCCTGCTCTATTCATGCTAAGTGTTCTATGCAGGTATACTATTTTTTATCTATTATGCAATCATTTTAATGTGTCTTTTTTATGTTTAGATGCACCAATACTTACCATTTTGCTACAACTGCCTACAGTATTCAGTACAGGAACATGCCGTACAGGTTTGTAGCCTAGGTGCAGAAGGTTATACCAGCTAGCTAGATGTGTACCAAACTACACCATTTAGGTTTTCGTAAGTACCCTCTATGACGTTTGCAGTACAAAATCATCTAACTACATGCATATTTCTCAGAACATGGCTCCATTGTTAAGTGACATGTCACTATATCTCTGTAATTTATCCCTTCTTCTCCTCTAGTGTTCAAATTCATTCCTTCCTCCATCTCTTGGCTGGATTATTGGAGTATCTCCCTCACTCATCTCTTCTGCTTTCTCCCTCCTTCAACCCAGCATCAATTATCTTTTCAAAAAATACGGAATTTCCACTTATAAAATATTGAGTTTGCTCCTATCACCCTCAAAATTAAATCCACAAACCTTACTAGAGCAAACATCTCTTTACGAAATGGCCGTACCCATCTCACTCCATCTTTCAACATTTCCCAGCAGAATGTTAACCATGTGACATCAGTTATGCTGAACATCCTTCACATTCCCCCTCAATAGCCCTGAGCCTTTTTATACCTTAATTCAGCTTCCTTGAATCAATTTTTATTGTTTCTTTTCTGAAAATATTTACCACAAGACTGGCTTTTCACTTAATTCCTAAAAGAGAATCTTCCTTTTAAAGCTCTCGAAAAGATAAGAGGGGAAGAAATTATAAGGAAAGCGTGGGTGGCAGCCAACAAGCACAACTTCTCTAGAGATTCCTCTCATGAGTTTTCTTTCTGTCTTTCTTTTTTTTTTTGTTTCTGCCTCAGCTCATTCATTCAGTTTCTCAGATTTTCAGTGATAGTAGCTACTACCAGCACCATAAACTCTAATTTCTCCATATTTTTTTTCACTACATTGTTTAGCAGTTCAAATCTATTGAAGGAATTTTACTAGGGCATTAAGGTTGTAATTTCTGATTCAGTGAACCTGAGTTCTAGGGACATGCATGTGTTTTTAGTTTGTCTGCTATTATAACTGAGAAAAAAAGTGCAAAAGTATAAAAAATTTAGAATGAGAAACCTAAACTCTTGCTTTGTGAATCTCACGCACAAACTGTCTTGGCTGAACCAAACTCTGTTTCTACCCCTTTGGAGCCCCTTGGTCCAAAATTTTGTCTAAGATATCTTATCCCTAAAGCATACTTCTTCCATGCCTGTTCCTTTTTCATCTTGAGAGTTCTTCACCATGCCAAATCCTTCATAGATTTTTTTTTTTTTTCTGTTAGGTACAAGTTTAAACCAGGAGTCTTCTGGGGAACAACAGACTCCTAAACAGCTACTTACAGGGAATCTCCTGGTTCTTAGGACCCTTGAGTCTGAGTTCAGTGCCTTTTCCATTATATTGCACAGCTTCAATACTTTTAAAAAGTCTTAATAAAAGATTTCCATAAGTTCCTTCTTCTGTAATTATCTCCCAAATCACTTATCCTTGAATCTGCCCAGAGTATAGAGGAGTTTGTCCAAGCTGACATAGAGGGAATAGCCTAGAACAGATCTCACCCTCTAAATGTGGTTTGCCTTTGTAATTCACAGGAAATGTGAGGATCTATTTAGCAGTCTATTCTAGCATACCAGACACTACAGACAGTCCGGTATTGTCTTCCTCTGTGTGATGATGAATAAAGACTATTTATTAATTTTCTTCAGAGAAAAATTTGGTTCCCAGTATTTATGATAAATACTAACGGTGTTGTTATATCTAAATGATAGGAAAGATGCAGATAGATGACTGTTATTCATTCTCTTCTTCTAAAATACACAGAATACAAGCTTTTTAAATTTTAGTGTAATAAATTGCTGGAGTTGTATAATTGCCTGTCAGCTCAGGTTTTCATTATAATCAGGATTATTTTTTCCCTGTCTGAAACTTCTCACTTGGGGGAGGATAGACTCCAATAAATGTATTGCAGACAATACACTAAAAATTATGAGAATAATGAATCACAAAATAAGGCATAGAAAATCCTTTTGAAAAGTATGTAATATTGTCATCATTATCATTTAGTCTAAACCTTTTATTTTTACCCGGGAATAAATCTGGGACATTAAATGATTTTCCAAAGGTTACATAGACGAAGATCTGATTTCTTGGTTCTCAGGACTCTTGAATCTGAGTTCGGTGCCTTTTCCATCATATTACACAACTTCAATGTTTTTAAATTTTTAATAAAATCTTTCCATATTTCCATATGTTCCTTCTTCTGCAGTTATCTCCCAAACCACTTGTCCTCGACTTTGTCTAGAGTAGAGAGGAGTTTTTCCAAGCTGACATAGAGGGAATAGCCTAGAACAGATCTCACCCTCTAAATGTGGTTTGCGTTTGTGATTATTAGTTCCTTTCAGGTTTTGATATGAACTGTCACATAAAAGTTAAACAAGGAGGGAGATGAGGCTTGAGATGCTATTAACAGCATGGCACGGTGGATAAAACAAGATTTATTTCTTTTTCATTTCTCATAACAATATCATACATCCAGATAAAGGGCCAGGTCCTGGTGAGACCACAAATGCCATTCAAAGCTCTTTCCAGATGTGATGACTGTCCCCTGCAAAAGTGTGGATTGTTCTGGGACTCTAAATTGCGCTGTCCATGGTGCTAAATATAGCCCTGCTACAAAATTTCTCTTCTGGCCAAGCAGTTGGAATAGTATCTAACTCTGTTTTTCAGAGCTTTTTAGTAGCCTGAGTCAGCTGTGTACAACCTGCAACTCTTCAAAAATGTAACAGCTCACATAGGTAGCTTTGAGAAAAATCTCGCTTATGACTGCAACTGAAGTTAAAATGAAAAATTCACATCATCAGGAGAAAATATTTAAATTGATTTGTAACTATTCTGCTTTTCCTAAAATAATACTCCTCATATGCTTTTTAAAATTAAAGCAAGGCCTCTGGTTGTTGCTCTTCTAGTTATATTTCCTACACAATATTAAAATTGTGTAGTGTTACATAGTGCAACTGTCAACCCCAAAATAAAATTAGCCACAGAAAATTAGATACAATGCACCCTGTGGATATAGAAACACTAGGTAGGCATTACAACTCAGCATTAAACTGGAGTCTATGTGAAATTACCAAGCAGGAGCAGTTTGCACAAAGAAAATTGAATGCATCTTTTATAGTGCGAACTATTATATATTGCATGGTATGAGTTACTACATATTTGGGGGACACCCTCCATCTACACTCCACCTGTGTAAAATTATCCCCTCACTTAGCTTTCATACATTATAACATAGATATGTGTAGGAGATAGACTGTTGTACCCAAGTATTCCAAACTGCCTTGGCTGTTTTGCTGGTACCTTGTGTTCTAATTGGTGGCTTTCTCTGTGATACACCTAAGACCCGAATAGCAAACTGGCAATGGCGTCCCTCCTCTCTCAGATAGGCAATGTTAACATTCTTACGGCATTAAAGACTACTGACCTTGAACTCTGCCAGTGCTATATGATGTCAACCAAGAATTCCCTGAAATCTGAAGTTATGTGACTAGTGGAGATTTGAGTCTCCACTTAGAGGTGGTCCTAAGATGCACATTGGGGTACTCCCACCATGCTATTATTAAACTCTTCATACTCAATCTCTTTTTTTTTTTTTTTTTGAGACAAAGTTTTGCTGTTGTTGCCCATGCTGGAGCACAACGGCGTGATCTCGGCTCACTGCAACCTCTGCCTCCCAGGTTCAAGCGATTCTCCTGCTTCAGCCTCCCAGTAGCAGGGATTACAGGCGCCCGCTATCCTGCCTGGCTAATATTTGTATTTTTAGTAGAGATGGGGTTTCACCATGTTGACCAGGCTGGTCTTGAACTCCTGACCTCAGGTGATCCACCCGCCTTGGCCTCCCAAACTGCTGGGATTACAGGTATGAGCCACCGTGCCTGGCCCATACTCAGTCTCTTTCACGGTGCTTCAAATTGCCTAGAATCATGAGCTCAGGGCAACCACCATCAGCTATTATGTGAATTGCTGCAACAGCCTTGCTTTCATTAATGCAAAGCATGACCCTTGTCCATATATTCTCTGCAAAGAAGCCATCATAATCTTTTCTATAAAACATTTTATTATGTCCATCCTGTTAAACTTTGTAATGGAATTTTATTATCACTAAGATAATATTAAAGCCTGTCAGACTGGCCCCTATTTCTCCCTCCTGTCTCTTTTGCTTTTCTTATCTCCTTTTGGGTTCTTTCAATCATACTGATTTTTAAAAAATTAATTGCATACACCATATTTTCTTTTGACTTCTGATCATCAACAGCTCTTTTTCCTACCTCCAAATCTCCTTTATCTTTATGCGGCTAACTCATTTATCATTCATCTCTCAGTTTGAAAGTCACATTCTCTAAGAGACCCTGACTGTAGCCCCCTCATCCTCTCCTTTCTCCCACCCTCCACACAAGTTCGGATGTTCAGCTCTATTTGCACCCAGTGTACCTCCACTGTATGATTTAGTTGACATCATTTCTTTCTTTCATTTTATTTTATGATTAGCACAGTGCTTGGCACAGATGTGCACTTACTGTGCATTGAGAGAACAAAAGAATGAAAAGTCAAAGTTTTTTTCATTGAGTAAATATTTATTCTTCTTCTATGATAAGCACAGTGTTGCCCTACATGCAGAAAACACTCACGTATCTATTTAGTGTGGCTGCGGAGGAGTGGGGAGGGGGAAGAAAAGAAGTCAGAGATGGAGAGTAGTTTCTGGCCAGTTGCAGTTCTTCAAAGCTTCAAGTCAAAACTGATAAAAATTAAGAAGTAGTTCTTAGCTTTTTTGCATCATGAAAAGAAACTATTTATTTTGCATTCTAATTTTGCCTTTTTTTCAGCATTTTGGGAATACTTTTTTAAGAGGAGTTAAAGAATTAAAAAGACCAGATCTTGCAGGTTTCATGTAAATTCTTGATGAAAAAAATCAAATAAAACTTTCCTTTTTGAAAAATTTAGTCTCAGTAAAGAATAGATAAGTTATACAGGGCGCCTTGGGGTACTCTAAACACAAAATTATATCTAGGTTTATAAACTATAATATGACCTTGTAGAGAGATCAGAAAATTTGTGTTGTTCATTATGATTTGCTTAGTTGAAAATGAAAGAGACTTTGCATTACTTTTACTTCCTTCTTCCAGGAACTGTCTCATGACTCCCCCGTTGTCTCTTGGCCCCTAATTTTTTTACACTATCTTTCTTAACTTCTCTCACTTATTTAACTTATTTAACATATCTGCAATAAAGGCTCTGGGACAGTCTGTCAAATAAACATGGGATTAAAAATTTTAATAAAAAATCTGCATCCAGAATGCGTAGTTTGTAAATAATCTAAAATTGTTATATAGGACTTTTATTGTGCATCCATAATATAAATACTGTTAAGGTCTGAAGTGAAATATGTATTGCCTATATCACATAGGTATATATCTATATGTATTGAAATGTCGTGCATTGATTGACATGATTAAAACAAAATATAACAATAAGCTAAAGTATGTAGTTTTTGGTTCTAGTAATTTATAATGTTGTTTCACAAGCTGGCAATAAGAAAGTCAGAAATATTTTTTTCCAGCAGAAACCATACATATAAATGGACATTTTAAGAGAGATTTTTAAAATTTACTGTATAGTGGCACTCATGCTTCTACAAGAACCTTTATAGCAGCTTTATTTCTTTGTCTTTGTAAAAACATTTGAGTATTACTGTTTTATTACTTATATTTTACAAAGGGAGATACTGAGTTATAGGAGTCATTTAAAATACACTTTTCTCTAAAAAAAAAAAAAACTTAACTCAGTGTATACTGTGGTTTTCCTTTATTATTTCCAAATTCTTTTTTAAAATACTGATGTAAACACCCAATTTATGGGTTATTAATAAATACTGAACTACAAAATAGGAGAGATTCAACGAGTAATAGCATGCCTGAGAGAAGGGGGAGCCCAGACGGTCACCTGCTTTCCTAGAATCCTCTTCTTTTTAGGCCTCTGAACTTCCCCACCTTTCCCTGACCAGTTTCTTTCTGTTCCTCTCTTCTGACACTGCGTCTTCTCCATGGCTCCCTTCTCTATACATTTCCCAGAGTCATCTCCTCTGAGCCCAGCCCCCTTGACTTCCTTCTTCCAGGAACTGTCTCATGACTCCCCAGTTGTCTCTTGGCCCCTAATTTTTTTACACTATCTTCTTAAGTTCTCTCATATATTTAACTGTTACTGGAAAGATTGAATCAGAGAGTCAGTCACCTTTGGGTTACTTTTGTCAAGCAGCTTGTTATTTTTCTAGTTTTTTTTTTGGAGATAATATATTATTTATATGTAATTCAATGTTTAAATATCAGTTATAATTCAAATAAAGCTTTTTACATAAAATCTGTTTCTATATTTTGTTTTAACCTTTATTGTAAAAAAAAAAATTCCTGTACTATTCTCCAACTCTTCAGGATGCAGTTACAAACCCAGATATGTTATAAACTACTTTAATGAAAGGGAACATAATTTTTATTACTTTTAAAAAAGCATAATGCTATATTCTATAATTTAAAAATTGGTACATAATGCCTCAAATTCAAGATGAAATCTTGAAGTTCTTCAATTCTAAATTGTTGCTAAAGACATGTATCTCTAGGGCTACCCATAATCCCATATTCCACTATGTTTCTGACCTCTAAGCAGTTTCTTCAAATCCATAATATACATAATATTGCTTATTTTATATTAAAGTGGTCTAGGTATAGACCCAAAAGCATGAGATACATACTGCTGAATTAGGTAAATAGTAGCATATTCTTACTTTAGTCTAGAAATATTCAAAAGTATTGATAATTATAATTTATCTTAGTTTCAGAAGAAATTACTTTTTAATGAAATTGGGTAAAAATCAAAGACTCATATATAAAATTATTATATGAATTATTATGAATAAATTTCTTTAAGAAAATATATGTTCTTAAGACTTTAAGATTTTAACAATATATGTTCATATAAAAATTTGCTCTTAACTACATTTGGGTTTTATTCATTTAAACTTCTGTCAGAATCTCTACTTGAAAGAACTTGGTTATACTTTTTTCTTTTAATTTTATTTATTTATATTTTTGTTAGACTTTATTTTTTAGAGCAATTTTAGGTTTACAGCAAAATGTACAGAGAATAATGTATAGATATTTCCCAAATACCTCTTCCTTGCCCCTCACATGGAATATTCCCCATATTAACATCCCCACCAGAGTGGTAGATTTGTTACAACTGATGAACCTACATTGACACATCATTATCACCCAAAGTCCACAGTTTCCATTAGGCTTAATGCTTAGTGTTGTACATTCCATGTGCTTGGACAAATTTATAATTTCATGTATCCAAAATTATAATGCCATTCAGATTAGTATTGCTGACCTAAAAATTCTTTAGGTTCCATCTATTCATTCCTCCCTCTTCCCTAACCCCTGGCAACCACTGATTTTTTTTAATAGTTTCCATAGTTTTGCCTTTCCATTATGCCATGTAATTGGAATCATACAGTATGTATCTTTTTCAGACTGGCCTCTTTCACTCATAGTAATATGCATTTAATTTGCCTCCATGCCTTTTCATGGTTTGATAGCTCATTTCTTTTAGCACTGAATATTATTCCATTGCCTGGAAGTGCCAGTCTATTTATCCATTCACTTACTGAAGGACATGTTGGCTGTTTCCAAGTTTTGGCAATTATGAATAAAACTACTATAAATATCCACGTGCAGGTTTTTGTGTAGACATAAGTTTGCAGCTCTTTTTGGTAAATACCCAAGAGAAGCATGAGTGAAAGATCACATGCCAAGAGTATCTTTGGTTTTGTAAGACATTGCCATGCTGTCTTCCAAAGGGGCTGTGCCATTTTGCATTCCCACCAGCAATGAATAAGCATTTCTGTTGCCCCATTTCCTCTCCAGCATTTTGTCTTGTCAGAGTTCTGCATTTTGACCATTCTTATAAGTATAAAGTGGTATCATTTTGCCATTTAAATTTGCATTTTCCTGATGACACACAATATGGAGCATCTTTTTCATATGCTTATTTGCCATCTACATATTTTCTTTAGTGATATGCACGTTAAGGTCTTTGGCCTATTTTTAATTTTTTTTGTTTTGTTTAATTTTAAGAGTTCTTTGTAAATCATGGATAACAGTCCTTTATTAGATGTGTCATTTGCAAATCTTTTCTCCCAGTCTATAGCTTGTCTTCTCATTCCCTTGACAATTTCTTTTGCGCAGCAAAATATTTCAATTTTAATGGAGTCCAGCTTATCAATTTTTTCTTTCATGGATTACGCCTTTGGTGTTTTGTCTAAAATTTCATTGCCAAACCTAACGTCATCTAGATTTTATCCTATGTTATGTTCTAGGAGTATTATAGTTTTACAGTTTTGAATTTTACGTTTAGATGTATGATCCATTTTGAGTTAATTTTTGTGAAGGGTGTAAGGTCTCTGTTTAAATTCTTTTTTTACTTGCATGTGGATATTGAGTCGTCCAAGCTTCATTTACTGAAAAGACTATCTTTGCTCCACTGCATTGCCTTTGCTCCTTTGCCAAAGATCAGTTGACCATATTTATGTGGCTCTATTTCTGGGCTCTTTATTCCATTCCATTGATCAATTTGTGTGTTTTTTCACCACTGCTACACTCTTAATTATAGTAGATTTATAGTAAGTCTTGAAGCCAGGTAGCATCAGTACTCTAACTCTGTTTTTCTTCAATATTGTGTTGGCTATTCTGAGGATTTTACCTTTCCATATAAACTTTAGATTTGCTTTGTTGATACACTGAAAATAACTTACTTGTATTTTGATTGGGATTTCATCAGACTTTCATCATACATTTTAATTAATTTGCTTAATTCATTGCAGCATCAATGTCAAGTTTGATAGCTTTTTTTGCCTTTTAAAATTTATGTATGATTGCTTGAACCATTATTTATGTCTTTTGAAAATATAATGCTCTTTATGTTTCTTGTTTCTTCTCTTCCTCTTCTTTGTCCTTCTTTTTCTCCTCCTCCTCCTTTTTCTTTTCTCCTTCTCTCCCTTTCTCTTTCTCTCCCTCCTAGCTCCCTTCCCATCCCCCCACACGTATGTGCCTGTGTGTGTTTGTGAAGTCAATTAGGATTTAGCTCACATCTGATTTGGACATCCTGCTCAGAACCAAGCTGAATTCGCTTACTTTAGGGATCTTAAGGCCATTTATCTCATGTTTCACTTACATTAGCTTAATACTATCTAGAGTTCAGCTCCTCCTCAAGTCACATCAAATAAGCTTCATTTACAAGGTATTTATGTATTTTGAAAACTTTACATGAGGTTTCTGGAAGATTGTGGAACTTATACAAGGCCCCAGCTTTCACCATCTTGCTCCTTTTCTTTCTCTTCTTTTTCTCCACCTTTCACCAACCCACTGTTGTTTCCTTATGAAAGGAAGTTCTGCCATCACTTTTGCTGCTTACTTTGTGCTAACCTACATCCCTTACTCCTCAAGGTTTCCCACAAGGAGCTTATCAAAATAGTTTCTTAAAAAACAAAACAAAACAAAAAGCCCAAAATTTTCTCATTAAAGGCATTCTGTTCCCAGCTAATCAAAAATAGCAAAAACAAAATAACTTTACCACATCACAATAAAATCATCTTTATGAAACTAGGCTGGGCACAGTGGCTCATGCCTGTAATCCCAGCACTTTGGGAAGCCAAAAGATGGGTGGATCACTTGAGGTCAGGAGTTCGAGATGAGCCTGGCCAACATGGCAAAACCCCATTTCTACTAAAAATACAAAAAATTGGCCAGGCTTGGTGGTGCGCACCTGTCATCCCAGCTACTTGAGAGGCTGAGGCAGGAGAATAGCTTGAGCCCAGGAGGTGCAGGTCCCAGTGAGCTTAGATTGCACCACTGCACTCCTGCCTGAGTGACAGAGTGAGACTCTGTCTCAGAAAAGAAGGAGAAGAAGAAGAAGAAAGAAGAGGAAGAAGAAAGAAGAGGAAGAACAAAGAAGAGGAAGAGGAAGAAGAAGAAGAAGAAGGAGGAGGAGGAGGAGGAGGAGAAACACAACTCTATTAGTTTGTACTTTTGCTAATTTTCATAAAACTACAAACTTATGCTCATTTGTAATAATAACTGTGGAAGAAAAGTATTAGCAGTGGTTTCTTCATGGTGATGGAAACAGCATAATTAAGCTATCTAAAATCAAAGTCTGAAATGAACTGGTTAATTTTGCATTTTACAGTAGAGAGAGCTACACTTTGAAGTAGTTATCATCTTTTTTAAAAGAATATAAGTTAGGTAATAAGTGAACATTTGGATGACTGGTCAAATTTGTGTGAGATTGGCATGCACACTGTGCAAAAATTATAATTACTGGAGATCAATTACTCTAGGTAATACTTCATTGACTATTGAAGTATCTATTTATGCCTAAATATCTAAGCGTTTCCCTTTTATTACTTTTAAAATAAATACTACTGTACCTACTTAGAGTAATAATTCAATCTATTGAATTCATGCTTTAGATTGACTGAGGAAGAAAATCCAGCACTGCCTATAGAGCAATACCACATAGTAGATTACAGAAAGAAATTAAAAGTAGAAGCATTGGTTCTGATATCTGAATTGGGCAAATATTAAATACAAATTTTGAATGTATTTCAATTCTGCCATCTTTGAAATATAGTATTTATCATATATTGGCTGTTATTTTTAGTATTCTTATTTTTTCACTAATCTCTCCTCAAAGTAAAAGAGAAAATTAGAGAAAAAACTGGTAAAATCAAAATGAGAGTTCATTTAAGTTGCAGTTTGGCAGCATAAAATATAAGCTACTGGCCTTTGAACCTTTCTGCTGTAGTTGTTGAAAAAACCCTTTATATGAAAGGGCTGGTGAATTATCTTTTCAATCAATAAATCTCTTTCTTAGAGGTTGCGTTGTTGCCCACAGGGTTGATGAGCCTAGCTAATTCCCCTTTAGGGCTGAAAAAACTATTCAGGTTCATATGACACTGCTATCCTTTAGGACTTCCTAGGATAAAGCAAATGATAAAAAATTACTACCATTAAATTGAATAAAAAGGTCAAGCTATCACCCCTAGTCTGTAAAAAGTAATCTTGAAACAATTGGAGTTGTTTAAACCCCACATTATTGCTCCTGTGTGTTTTAAGTTCCAGTGTGAATCTTGTGATGGCAGAAATCAGAGTACCTCATCTTGTGTATCGTTTAGAATGGCCTACAACTATGGCAGATGTAACCAGAATAATCAGAAGTACATTCCCAAAACAAATTAATAAGACTGCTTGCATACCCAGTAAGTATGCAAGGTATACTTAAATAAGAGCCCATCTTATTGACCCATATTATTTAATGAAAAGCAATTACACAGGTGTTTTCCTTATGGAGTTATAAGAGGCAAGCCAAAAAATCAAAGATCACAGACAATTTACCTATAGGGCATTTTCTCATTCTAACCATCCTCACTTTTCACAGTTCAATGGGGAAAGACTGCATACTGACTTTTTTTGAAATTTAAAACCAAGAACAAATTATGTTAATGTCAGAATTGTTACCTGTATTTGGTTCAGTAAAGATTCTTACATATATGCAAAACAATTGCATATAATCCAGATTATATGTGTTGACATATTGTATTTATTTCCTATATATTGATTTTTTTTTAAATTGGAAGACTTAAGTTACAGAGACAGATTAAAGGAAAATCTATTTGTTAAAAAATATGTGTATTCTCTATGAATAGGAATGCACAGATTTTTCTCTCTCATAACTCATTGTGATTTTGGCATTTGAGAGTTTCCTACAACAGAAAACAAGATTAGTAATGATTCATATTAGTTGAGCAGTGAAAATTCTCTCTTTCTCCGTGCCTATGTTTTATGAGGTGAAGTATGTGAATAAAACAAAAATGTGGATTGGTCATTTATCCTTTCCCACATAACTAAGCTAAAGTGAAACTGGAAAGTCTTGAATGTTTACTGCATCTTTAGAAATACACACACTCAAAAATACTTTTACTCATTTTCTTAAAACCTATTTCTGCATTTTGATGGTCCAGTATCTTTTAAAAAGATAGTTAGTTGGATTGCATATTAACTCTCTACAACTTTGGTACAAAGAAAAAATTACCTGTTCCCTTTATTTCTCATTAGCAGCTCTGGTCTCTTTCATGAGAAACCATTCATTGGTTGGTAGGAGAAAGATCAACTAAATATCTTGTCCAGTTTAAAGCCTGGATTGATCATAATATTAAACCATGTTTCAGATAGACTGTTTAATTAAATTTGTTGTAGAGCTGCCTTCATACATATTTTCAATTTGGCCTAAAAGTTTCTTTGTACATAGTGAACTGTAACTTAATTTGATGTGTAAATAGATGGTAACCTATTTGTGTGACAAATAGCCCAGTCTTAGCCCACCACAGCATGCAAACTTCAATCACCCACAGGTGCCCACCTGTTCAAAACAGGTTCAAGTAAGGCAAATGCCCAGCTCTAACCAGTCCAGTTGTTTCTGTACCTTAGTTCCATTTTCTATATGCTATTTTCCTTTTTCTGTCCATATATGTTATCCAACCATGTAGCAGCCCTGGAATCACTCTGAACCTAGTCTGGTTCTGAGGGCTGCCCAATTCACAAATTGTCCTTTGCTTAATTAAACTCTATTAAATTGAGCTTGCCTAAACATTTTCTTTTAACACATCTCATTGATTCTCACCATAAGACAAACATCTAGTAGTAGGAAGCACTGTGTTGGGTGGACCAGCCACCTGGCCTCATGCCAGCTCAGCTGATGTGTCATTTGAAAGGTAAATCCTATGTGTGTTTTATGTTTAGGTGTCCCTGGCTTCTAATGCTTAAGTCTGTGGTCTATTAACCTTGGGGTCCACCCTCAGCTCTAGAAACAGTCCTCATGGCAGTTCCTAATGAGCCTGGATCTACCTAAGGATTTGTTTATATAACTCATCTGCAATCTGAGTGTTACTGTCTTTGATCCCAGCCAGGGTGTACTACAGTAGGGACTCCAGCAAGCCTCTGACATGTTTCTGGTTCTATAAAATAAAATGAAATAAAATAAAATAAACAAAGGATTTTTAGAGAACACTCAAATGCTTCCTTCTGCTGGACAGTACCAAAGTTACTGTGATAAATCTGTTGCTGAGTAATGGGTACCATGCCCCTCAGCTTTCCAAATAACTAATGACCTATTGTTTTCCACTCTGTATTAGTTCGTTTTCACAGAGCTATAAAGAAATACCTGAGACTGGGTAATTTATGAAGAAAGATTTAATCGACTCACAGTTCCACATGGCTGGGGAGGCCTCAGGAAACTCACAGTCATGGCAGAAAGTGAAGGGGAAGCAAGGCACACCCTACATGGCAGCAGGAGAGAGAGCAAAGGGGAGAAGTGCCACTCTTTCAAACCATCAACTCTCATGAGAACTCACTGACTATCAGGAGAACAGCAAGGGAGAAATCCGCCTCCATGATCCAACCATCTTCCACCACGCCCCTCCTCTGACATGCGGGAATTACAGTCTGAGATGAGATTTGCGTGGGGACACAGAGCCAAGCCATATAACATGCTAATATAAATGCCTCTTTCTAAAAAAGATCTAAAAAACGGAAATCAGAACATCTGTCTGCTAGTCATTTCTCTGTCCTCTGCTTCTCATCTGTTACTCCTTTAGTTTCCCTAGGGTCAGAAAAGACCCAGCTTCCCTGTTTGCTCTTCCTATGTGGAATTCTATGGCTTAGCCCACACAACCTAGCTCTTGCCATGCAAAACAGAGATAAAGGAATTTAACAATCTTCTCTCATGACACTACCATCACTGTCAAGGTTATTGACTTGCTTCCAAATCGCATTTTTCAACGTCAAAAGCTGAATCTTTCCCGTTGATTCCTTTTGTAACAACTTATAATCTTCTTCAGGCAGAAGGACAGAGTAGGGCAAAGTGCATGTGGTGCAAAGGAAAGTTTCAAATGTTAAAAAGAAAAATAATTAATAACCTTAGATCATCACACTTATTACTTTTTTCTCTTTATGCTTCTAAAAGTAGATCATGAATATAAAGTGTATATAAAATTCAAAAGACAATGTCCATCTAGGAATTTGTCCCAGAGTCAGAAAATATATATAGAAAGACTGATGAATCTTAAAGTATAAAAATTAGTCATATTTGTATGGTAAAACTTATAGTTAAAATTATTAACAATGTATTTGAGAAAATACCCTTAATATAGGTGTAAGGACATTGATGCTCACACAGTTCAAAGTTCTTACAAGTAAAGAAGGAAAGGACAGCCTTCCTATTCATGAATAAGCAAATGCAAAATTAGAAATGTGAATTGTTAGTAAATATTAAAATAAATATTTGGCCTTTACTCATTATCAAAGAAATGAAAAGTAGAATGAGATACCATTTCCCCTACAGATTGGCAAAAATTCAAAAGAATGGTAAAGGCCAGGAAGGGGAACCACATAAAGAAATTGACACTCTTCTTTATGGTGGCATTAGAGACATATAATTGTTGAGATCATTGGTTTTAGAAAAGAGATAAGCTTGTGGATTAAAATTCCTAGATTATTAGTTACTGCATCAACTAATTAAACATGCAAATATGTTTAATTTCTATGCTTTAAGCTTTATTAGTCTTTCTATATATATTTTCTGACTCTGGGACACATTCCTTGGGAGGCTAATATACGGGATTTTTATGTAATGTACTTGACATGGTAAGTGTCAATACAAAGTTGTTGTGGTTGTTAGAATATACATTGGTTCAGCCATTTTGAACAGGAACTTATCAAAACATGCATAAAGCTTTAAAGAATGTATATGTCATATGAGCCAACATTTCTAGGAATTTTTCCAAAATAACGAATCAAATGTATATGTACAATTATGAAGAGTTAAATCACAGCTTATTTAAAATACAAAATTGGAAACAAATGTGCCAAAATAGGGATTTATTAAAATCTTTCCATACCTACTACTAAAATCCAGCATCTGTTGAATGTACTTTGTTTCTTGCCTGACTTTCCATTTTGCTCCTGCAAGATCAACCATATGTTTTAAAGCAACTTGTCATATTTTGATCTAGCATTTACTTGGACTTGAAGATTTTTCAGGTGTTCTTAACTTATTTTATTTAAGAAAAAAATCAGTGCACATTTTTTGACATTGGTACATTTTCATCACATATTAATATTTAAATTGAAAGCAACAATCTTCAAAGAAGTGTATATTTGAATTATTTTTAATACACATCAAATAGTATGAAATAAAATATTAAAACATTATCTTCAGTTGATTGGATTACTAGCAAAAGAGAGAGAGAGAGTGTGTGTGTGTGTATACTTACTTTTCCATGTTTTAAACAGTAGTATTTTCTTCTTTGAGCATATATTAATTTATCATTATAAATACTTTAATAAATGAATCTATATATATTATTTTTGATTTGTTAAAACACATACACTTTTTTAAAAAATTAAAAATTTTGATTCTTTTTTATTATATTTTCTGTGCATACAACTTTTTAAATTACTTTACAGAGTTATAGTACATCTATTGTTTTGTTACTTTTTTTAAAAAATACCATCTGACAATATTAAATAAACTCAGTAAACACACAAGTATCCCGATATTCAATATCCAAATCATTCTGATTCTGACCTCCTTTTCTAGCTTTGTTTTCTATGACTCTACAGAATTAGTCCTCCTTACCTGGTGCCAGGCTGAACCACTGAATGTTCTTTAAGCATATTTCCCACTCCCAAGTCCCTTGTGATTCCTGTATATATAGATTGTATTAGCCTTATCGAAATCCCAGTATTTCAAAACGTACTCATTATTAAGGGTGAATTGAAGCATGACATTTTCCACTGTATTCTGCCTTCTTTAATACTTTGAGGAAAAAATAGTATCTTTATCTTTGAATTACTATACATTTTTAATTCACGCATTTTACAATGCCAGTTGCATAGAATCCTGGGTTGTAGATATTTGTAAACAATACTTTTTTCCCTTTAGGTAAAGTCTTTCTAAAGACAGAGATCCTGAATCCTTAGAGTCGTCAACTCATTTTATTCTGTTTGACATATAGATGTACTAGAATTTAATAAATTTAGTGAATTATTTTCCATTTTTAAGAAAAAATAGTATCTTGAATCAACAGTTTAGCTATGGCATTTTGATCCTATCCATTTCAAGATCATGTAGGACTTCAGGAGATATCTTGAAAAGTTATCTCTGAGTTATTCTTTCTGGATAGCTTGAACTTCAGTTATCATAAGTATATTAAGGAAAATAACTTACACTAAAATCTAAGACTAAACAAGACATGCAAGAATACATCATTTAATTAAGTTGCATTCTTCAGTCTGCATGATTTGTTTCTTTTGCCCGATTGCTTTATAACATTACCATTGAGACAGGAATAATACAGGGTGGTCACAGGAGAACAGAAAATTCCAGGCAGCAGTTTCACATGACTAGCAAAAAGAAACTGTTGAAATAAATGCATAAACTAAGGGCTGATAAAACCTCGAAACACCAGGGTGTGAGGCAAGATAGCTAAGATCAACTGGACCCAACATGGTTCTGGGTTTGAACTAAGTTTCACCTAGGACCTCACTATACACTCATTAACATACTAAAATCACACACCTGCCAGTGCCATGACAGTTCCAGGAACACCTGTATTTGGTGTAACAATAGGTGGTACTAGAGTTCCAAGAAACTTTCACCTTTTTCCAGGAATCTTCATGGATATTCCAACTCTTGGTTAAGGAAACCCACAAACACAGAAACCCTAAGCCCCTCTTCATGACTCTTTCTTAAGTATGCCTGCACTCCCCTTTCTAGAGTGTGTACTTTTCACTTTCAAATATTAATATGTGATCTCCGTACTTTCACTGTTTTCTGACTTGTCCTTGAATTCCTTCTCATGACAGTGTCAAGAGCCTGGACACACGGGCTGGAGTTGAGGTCCCACTGGCATTTGGAGAGCTACCCCAACTCACCAGTATCACCATGTCAACATATTTGAGTTTTGATTTTACTTTTGATTTTGCTTTATGGAATGCAATATTGTTTAAAACCAGGAGCCAAATGTCAGTCATGGAAGCATACTGGTTCATCAGAGACATCATAACTGAGGGTTTCAGACAGGGAGGAAAAGAACCCCTCAGGAACATGATAAAATTAGATCTAATTTATGTGCACTGTTGAGCCATATATTGAGGTCAGGAGCTGTGACTGAACTGCACCATTTGTGAACTGCTATTCATTGTCTCAGAAGTAGTCTGAAACATTGCAGCTCAGGCTTCACAGCATTATTTAATTAGGTTATCTTGAGTAGAACTTTCTGAGGGAAAAGAAGAGCACTGGAAATTCATTGGAGGTCTAATTAACCACAGCTTTTGTTTTGCCATACAATTATCATTGTAAAATATATTCTCACAGCTCTCCATTATGTAGAAATTGTTTTGTCCTTGATGAACACTGATGCAAAAATCCTCAATAAAATACTGGCAAACCGAATCCAGCAGCACATCAAAAAGCTTATCCACCATGATCAAGTGGGCCTCATCCTTGGGATGCAAGGCTGGTTCAACATACGAAAATCAGTAAACATAATCCAGCATATAAACAGAACCAAAGACAAAAACCACATGATTATCTCAATAGATGCAGAAAAGGCCTTTGACAAAATTCAACAACGTTTCATGCTAAAAACTCTCAATAAATTAGGTATTGATGGGACGTATCTCAAAATAATAAGAGCTATCTATGACAAACCCACAGCCAATATCATACTGAATGGGCAAAAACTGGAAGCATTCCCTTTGAAAACTGGCACAAGACAGGGATGCCCTCTCTCACCACTCCTATTCACCATAGTGTTGGAAGTTCTGGCCAGGGCAATTAGGCAGGAGAAGGAAATAAAGGGCATTCAATTAGGAAAAGAGGAAGTCAAATTGTCCCTGTTTGCAGATAACATGGTTGTATATCTAGAAGACCCCATCGTCTCAGCCCAAAATCTCCTTAAGCTGATAAGCAACTTCAGCAAAGTCGCAGGATACAAAATCAATGTGCAAAAATCACAAGCATTCTTATACACCAATAACAGACAAACAGAGAGCCAAATCATGAGTGAACTCCCATTCACAATTGCTTCAAAGAGAATAAAATACCTAGGAATCCAACTTACAAGGGATGTGAAGGACCTCTTCAAGGAGAACTACAAACCACTGCTCAACGAAATAAAAGAGGATACAAACAAATGGAAGAACATTCCATGCTCATGGGTAGGAAGAATCATATCATGAAAATGGCCATACTGCTCAAGGTAATTTACAGATTCAATGCCATCCCCATCAAGCTACCAATGACTTTCTTCACAGAATTGGAAAAAACTATTTTAAAGTTCATATGGAACCAAAAAAGAGCCCACATCGCCAAGTCAATCCTAAGCCAAAAGAACAAAGCTGGAGGCATCATGCTACCTGACTTCAAACTATACTACAAGGCTACAGTAACCAAAACAGCATGGTACTGGTACCAAAACAGAGATATAGACCAATGGAACAGAACAGAGCCCTCAGAAATAATGCCACATATCTACAACTATCTGATCTTTGACAAACCTGAGAAAAACAAGCAATGGGGAAAGGATTCCCTATTTAATAAATGGTGCTGGGAAAACTGTCTAGCCATATGTAGAAAGCTGAAATGGGATCCCTTCCTTACACCTTATACAAAAATTAATTCAAGATGGATTAAAGACTTACATGTTAGACCTAAAACCACAAAAACCCTAAAAGAAAACCTAGGCAATACCATTCAGGACATAGGCATGGGCAAGGACTTCATGTCTAAAACACCAAAAGCAATGGCAACAAAAGCCAAAATTGACAAATGGGATCTAATTAAACGAAAGAGCTTCTGCACAGCAAAAGAAACTACCAGCAGAGTGAACAGGCAACCTAAAGAATGGGAGACAATTTTTGCAATCTACTCATCTGAAAAAGGGCTAATATCCAGAATCTACAATGAACTCAAACAAATCTACAATAAAAAACAAACAACCCCATCAAAAACTGGGCGAAGGATATGAACAGACACTTCTCAAAAGAAGACATTTATGCAGCCAAAAAACACATGAAAAAATGCTCATCATCACTGGCCGTCAGAGAAATGCAAATCAAAACCACAATGAGATACCATCTCACACCAGTTAGAATGGCAGTCATTAAAAAGTCAGGAAACAACAAGTGCTGGAGAGGATGTGGAGAAATAGGAACATTTTTACACTGTTGGTGGGACTGTAAACTAGTTCAACCATTGTGGAAGTCAGTGTGGTGATTCCTCAGGGATCTAGAACTAGAAATAACATTTGACCCAGCCATCCCATTACTGGGTATATACCCAAAGGATTATAAATCATGCTGCTATAAAGACACATGCACACGTATGTTTATTGCAGCATTATTCACAATAGCAAAGACTTGGAACCAAGCCAAATGTCCAACAATGTTAGACTGGATTAAGAAAATGTGGCACATATACACCATGGAATACTATGCAGCCATAAAAAAGGATGAGTTTATGTCCTTTGTAGGGACATGGATGAAGTTGGAAACCATCATTCTCAGCAAACTATCACAAGAACAAAAAACCAAACACCACATGTTCTCACTCATAGGTGGGAATTGAACAATGAGAACACATGGACACAGGAAGGGGAACATCACACACCGGGGACTCTTGTGGGGTGGGGGGAGGTGGGAGGGATAGCATTAGGAAAGATACCTAATGCTAAATGACGAGTTAATGGGTGCAGCACACCAACATGGCACATGTATACATATGTAACAAACCTGCACGTTGTGCACACATACCCTAAAACTTAAAGTATAACAATAATAATAAAAAAAGAAATTGTTTTGTTTAGTGTTTACAATATCTTTTCTTATATTGTAATATTCTTGGTTACCAAGAGTAATAAAAAGTTGTCAGAGAAGATAGAGTGAGTTTATGTCTTTCAAAGTGATTTCTTTTTTAATTAAAAAATTATTTTTATTTTTTGTTGCTACATAGTAGGTGTATATATTTATAGGGTACATTAGATGTTTTAATACAGGCATACAATGGGTAATAATCACATCAGGGTAAATGGGGTATCCATCACCTCAACCATTTATCCTTTTTTTGTGTGTTACAAAATATCCAATTATACTCTTTTAGTTGTTTCAAAATATACAATAAGTTATTGTTGATTGTAGTCACCCTGTTGTGCTATCAAATACTAGATCTTAACCACTCTGTCTAACTATATTTTTGTACCCATGGATGATTCCCACTCATGCCCATCTTAGAGTGATTTTTAAAAATACTCTGAGAACATGTATGTGTGTGAGGTATGTATGCCTCATTGTGATATAACATTATGCAGTATTTGGGGATACAACACATTAAGGTGCTTGGGCCAAAAAGCCAAGTAAAACAAAGCAAAATACAAACAAAACCAACAATAAACAAAGCACTTTGAAAATAAATATTATTGCTTCTTTTTTTTATCCTTAATGTTTTCCTTTCCTATTTCCAGAGGCGAATATGATTTTTTTCCTCTTCTTTAATTCTGTCTTGAAAGCCTTCTATAGATATCAGTGGGAGAAAACCATGAGGCCTTCAATATTTCATTTAAGCTACTAAGCACAAGGAATACTTAAATATTTTTCACCTATATGCAATTGCTTTTACTCTTGCATCAAACACTGCTAGGGTGTGAGGAAGTGGGTCTTATTATTCAAACCTAACCTTGATTTTCTAAAGTAGTATTTTAACAACCAGATGCAAAATATTTTAGGAAGTGAACTGGGTTTCGATCATTTCTAGGGCATACCATATTTGTGTTGAGATAAGCACAGTGGTTGGCTATTAGTTTTCTGTTCTGCAATGGCACATTATGAATGTTCCTATAAACCTGTACTCACGGTATATGGACTTGGGAAGCACTATGGTTAAGACTGAGAATATCTAGCTTCCACTTAGTTGCCTGGACCTGAAATTTGGAAGTCATCCTTGCTTCTTCTCCCTTACCCATCACTGAGTATCAAAGCTTATCAACCCTACTTTTTTCATATCCTTTGAGGCCAACCAAATTTTACTCAGTAAAAGCCTCTCTATTTTAGGTCATCTCTTACCCAGGTTACTCCTACAGCCTCTTAAGTTGTCTCTGTGCCTCCTATTTTCTTCCCTCCAAACCAGCTTTGCCACTTCAGAAAGTGTGATTTTTCTAAAATATAAATATGATTTCTTGTTCACCTGCCTCCAAACCCTTCCCATTTATTTAAGGATAAACTCCAAACAACTTTTAAAAGCCTTCATGACCTGGACCTTTTGCATATTTTTAGCTTCACCAACCTAGAACTTCTTCCCTTTCATCCTATGTTCCTGGATTTCTGAATATCTTGTTGTTCCCAGACCATATAATGATACTGTTATTATATATATATATATTTATATTTTATATCTATGATTTTCTTAACTACCACCCCCACCCAGCCCTTCAACACTCATCTGATTACCACATTAATTTATACTCGTCTTTAAGACTAGACTTAGGGTCAGATGATTTTTGACAATGATGCTAAGACCACTCAATGGGGCAAAAATGTCTTTTCAAAAAATGGTGCTGGGTAAACTGGATAGCCACATACAAAAGCATGGAGTTGGACTGCTTCCTAGTACCATATACAAAAATTAAATTTAAATGGATTAATGATCTACTTGTAAAACCTAAATCTATAAAATGCTAAGAAGATAACATAGGGCAAAGCTTCATGACATTGGATTTGGCAGCAATTTCTAAAATATGACACCAAAGGCATAGTCAACAAAAGAAAACTAGACAAATTGGACTTCATGAAAATTAAAAATTTTATACACCAAAACTGGCTATCAACAGAATAAAACAGAAATTCACCAAATGGGAAAAATATTTGCAAATCATCTATCTGATAAGGAATTAATATCCAAAATATATAAAGAATGCTTAAAACTGGACCAAAAAAAAAAAAAAAAAAACCAAGTAAAAAATGAGCAAAGGACTTGAATAGATACTTCTCTAAAGAAGATATACAAATGGCCAATAGGCACATGCAAAGATGTTCAATATCAGTAATCATTAGAAAATGAAAATCAAAACTATAATGAGATATCACTTCATACACATTACAATGGCTAATATTTAAAAAATAACAAGTATGGGGATATAGAGTAATTAGAACCTTGGGTACTGTTGGTGGAAATGTAAAATGGTACAGTCACTGTGGAAATAAGTATGACATTTACTGAAAATATTAATAATAAAACTATTATATGATCCAGCAGTTCTCCTTGTGGGTATATACGTCTCAAGAATTGAAAGCAGGGTCTCTAGGAGATAGTTGTACACCCATGTTTATAGCAGCATTATTCACGATAGTTAAAACATGTAAGCAAAAAATTTGCTTATGAATGGATGAATGGATATGCAAAATGTAGTACATATACACAATAAAACATTATTCAGCCTTCAAATGGAAGAAAATTCTAACACATGCTACAACATGAATGAAACTTGAGTACATTTAGGCTAAGTGAAATACGCCAGTCATGTAAAGATAAATACTGTATAATTCCATATATATAAGGTACTTTGGTAGTCAAAATCATAGAGACAGAAAGCTGACTGGTGGTTGCCAGAAGCTGAGGGGAGGGGAGAATAAGTTATTATTTAATGGGTATAGAGTTCCAGTTTTATAAAATGAGAAGAGTTATGAGGATGGATGGTAGTGATGGTTGCACAAGATTATAAATATATCCAATATTATTGAACCATACACACAAAAATGGTTGAGTTTGAATTTAAATTTTATGCTTTATATATTTGCCACAAAAAATGAAGCAAAAACAGAGTAGGCTAAGATGACATTTCCTCCAGGAAACCTCAAGAGCTCCCCTATCTCCTAGTCTCTTCTTGAGCACCAAATACTCTGCATGATCCTGCCACTGAACTTGGTTCCCTGAATTATAATTGTTTGTGCCTTTTTTAAATACCCAAAATCTTCCTTAAATTTCAGTATCAAAATTCCAGCTGGTGAATACTTTTACTCATCATGGTGTAGAGAGCTCTGTGTCCCGTCTTGAATGAATGTGAGTATACTGTTAAGCTCTTTACCTTCACGTGCAGGTAAAGGAAACTAGACATTCATTTTTCCTTTTTCCCTTTCTGAAGGAATAAAGAATGAGATTCTTTCTGCCTATATTGTGGCCCATTGACTTTCCCACGAAGTAGATACAGGAGTCATACGCAGAGGTTGCATTCACCTCATATGGATCAGAACAGCTGCACTAGCAGTTAAAATAGTGATACTAGTAACTAAAAAGCCACTGTCCTGAGCCTCCTGAGAGTGTTTCTGCTGTTTTAGCCAAGAGGGACTCTTCTTGGGACCCTCTGTTAGATGTCCTCAGATGTAACAACAAAGGGGTAATGCATGGCAGATGGGGGAACTGGCTTTTAACATTCTGCATCAGCCCTACAGCCAAGGTCTTTTCTGATTTGTTAGTGCCTATACCACACTTGTTAAGTACTTTAAATACAGTCCTTGAGTGTAAGGATATAAAATTAAATACCAATGTCTTACATAATAATTGTGTTTTTTGCTGTGCACTTAGCTATGTTATACATACAACTCTTTAGGAAAAACAACTCAATTACATTTAAAGAATATTTCCCATACCTTGAAAAGAGAAATTATCCAGAATTACTAAGCATACTTCATGTTATAGATGCTATGTAATATAGAACATGTATATTTTAAAAATAAAATGTAATTTTAATAGTAAATATATAATTTTTAAAATAGAGAAATAATATAAACAGGATAAAATCCATGCATAATTTTGTTCTCTCACATATATAGCTTTACAAAATAAAATCCAGATTATATTTTAAATATAGATTTTAAAAGTTTATTTCATTAAAATTGTGGATCAATGATCTCTTATTGTAAAATAAGTACCTGTCAAGTTAAGTTGGAAGCACTAAAAACTACAAACAGTTATACCCATCTTCCCAGGATGCTAGAGAGATCAGAAACAAAATATACTAACATATCACCTTGGAAATGCCTTCAAAGATAATACACTAACAAAGCTCATTAATCAAATTACTATGGCATACTAAACAAACAAGAACATTTTCATTATTGTGAAGTTTTGCTAAATAATCAATAGTCTCCCAGTACTTTGCAGCAGTAAATACTAAAGACAATTAGAAGCAACTTATTTCGAGTAAAATTTAAAAATAGATTAGCAGATCGGCCAGGGGAATCATAACTACAGTGTGCATGCAAGGTTGATTCCCACTTAGCCCCCCAGAGGAGTAGAATTATCTTAATATCTAGTATTAGGTTTATGGAAATAAGGTCTTTTATAAGAAATGGTGTGAAACAGATATTCCCAGCTTGTGCTGATTATCGGAAACTCTTATTTAACATATCATGATTTGCGGCACATAAAATAAGATGGATGTTAGAAAGGAACTGATTTTCTAGGCCCTATAAAAGGTAATTGAAGCATTAAAACAACTATACAGGAAGCCAAGCCAAAGGAGTTGTGGATCAGAAAATATAACTGTGAGATGTTAGAATATCGAATAGTCTTTCTTACTAATTGAAAATGCATTCATGTACACAGTAGGGACCTGAATACCTGTTCTATAAGTTAATTAGGTACAAATATTTAAATTGGAATTTTTCTTTGGTTAAAGGAGTCTAAGGTTAATAATAATGTTTATGTATATATAGACACACATGTATACATCAATATGACAAAACATTGTTAAGAAAAATATTTAGCTATCCTACGCAGAGAGATAAATTTTACCTACATGGATCTGTGTTTTAAATATATTTTTAATAAACTTCCAATTTCAAATAAAAGTATCTCACACTACGTTTGCACCATAAATTGTTTGGGATGAAATAGTGGAAAGTGCCAGGCATGGTGACCCATGCCTGTAATCCTAGCACTTTGGGAGGCTGAGATGGATGGATCACTTGAGGTCAGGAGTTCAAGACCAGCCTGGCCAACATGGCAAAATCCCATTGCTACTAAAAATACAAAAATTAGCCAGGTGTGGTGGTGTATGCTGATAATCCCTGCTCCTCCGGAGACTGAGACACTAGAATCGCTTGAACTCACGAGGCAGAGGTTGGAGTCAGCTGAGATCGTACCACTGCACTCCAGCCTGGGTGACAGAGTGAGACTCTGTCTCAAAAAAAAATAATAATAAAGAAAAGAAAAGAAGAGGAGAGGAGAGGACAGAAAAGAAAAGAAAAGAAAAGAAAAGAAAAGAAAAGAAAAGAAAAAAGAAAAGAAAAGAAAAGGAAAGGAAAAGAAAAGTAAAAGAAATAATGGAAATAAAAAAACTTTGGAGTACTAGACAGGTGCCAGAAAGACCGAGAGATCATCACTGATGCTCACATGCTGTCTGAAAGTGTCTAAGTCACCCCTGTCATATTTTCATAATGGTTTTGGTTTACCCTGTGTTCCTCAAACATATTCCTTTTCCTTCAATGAGTATTGGAAGGCTTTTTGTTTATAACAAACCTCAGGAGTCTCCAACATTTTTTAGGGAGAGACTACACATTTTTAATAGGTCATGTCCATTTTATGAGTTGAACCTAGGTTATATAAACTGAAACCTGATATTGTTTGTTTGTTTTTAATTTTTGTTATATATTGACAAATTAGACTTGTATATATTTATGGGGCACAAAGTGATGGTATAATTTTTATTGCAATGCAGAAAGATTAAATTAGCTTAATATATCATCACTTCAAACATTTACATTTTTGTAACAAGAACATTAGAAATTACTCTCTCAGGAATATTGAACTTCACAGAATTCAGTTGTTATCTATATTCACCCCACTGTACAACTGATATTTAAAAAACCCTATTTCTCCTGTCTAACTGGGGCTTTGTACACTTTGATTATCATCTCCACATTTTCCCTACCCTCAGGCCTATGAAACCCACCATTCTATTCTCTGCTTCCACATATAAGTGATAGCATGTGGTATCTTTCTGTGTTTGGCTTGTTTCACTTAGCATGATGTTCTTCAATTTCATTGTTTTAAATTTCTCATTTTTTGTTTTTTAAGGCTGAATAATATTCCATGGTGTATGAATACCACATTTTATTTATCCATTAATTAGCTCAGGAACACTTAGTATGATTCCGTAATATGGCTATTGTGAATAGTTCTGCAATAAACAGGGGAGTGCAGAGATCTCTGTCACATACTGATTTAATTATTTGGGGGAAATGCTCAGAAGCAGGATTGCTAGATCACATGGTAATTCTATTTTTAGTTTTTTGTGGAACCTCCATATTGTTTTCCATAATGATTATACTAATTTACATTCCCACTAACAGTGTACAAGGGTTCCCTTTTCTCCGCATCCTTGCCAACACTTGTTATCTTTCCATTTTTTTTTTTTTTGGATAGACATTCTAACAGGTGTGAGTTAATATCTCACTGTGGTTTTTAATTTTCATCTTTCTAATAATTAGTGATATTGAGCATGTTTTTAATGTAACTATTAGCTATTTGTATTTTTTCTTTTGAGAAATGTTGATTCTGGTCCCTTGCTCATTTTTAATATCAGATTATGTATTAGCTCATTTTCATGCTGCTGACAAAGACATACTTGAGACTGGGCAATTTATAAAAGAAAGAGGTTTATAATGAACTTAAAGTTCCACCTGCCTGGGGAAGCCTCATAATCATGGCAGAAGGTAAGGAGGAGCAAGACACGCCTTACATGGTTGGCAGCAGGCAAGAGAGCTTGTGCAGGGAAACTTCCCCTTTTAAAACCATTGATCTCATGAGATTCATTCACTATCAAAAGAACAGTGCAGGAAAGACCCACCCCCATAATTCAATCACCTCCCACCAGGTTTCTTCCACAACACATGGGAATTGTGTGAATTCAAGATGAGATTTGGGTGAGAACACAGACAAACCATATCATTCCACTCCTGGCCCCTCCCAAATCTTATGTCCTCACATTTTAAAACTAATCATGCTTTCCTAATAATCCTCCAAAATCTTAACTCATTTCAGCATTAACTCAAAAGTCCACAGTGCAATGTCTCATTTGAGACAAGGCAAGTCTCTTCCACTCATGAGCCTGTAAAATCCAAAGCCAGTTAATTACTTCCTAGATACAATGGGGGTACAGGCATTGGATAAATACACTTACTCCATATGGGAGAAATTGGCCAAAACAAAGGGGCTACAGGCCCCATGCAAGTCTGAAATCCAGCAGGGCAGTCAAATCTTAAAGCTCCAAAATGATCTCCTTAGACTCCATGTCTCATTCCCAGGTCACCCTGGTGCAAGAGGTGGGTTCCCATGGTCTTGGGCAGCTCTGCCCCTGTGGCTCTGCAGGGTGCTGCCTCCTTCCTGGCTGCTTTCATGTGCTGGCATTGAGTGTCTGCAGCTTTTCCAAGTGCATGGTGCAAGCCGTCAGTGGATCTACCGTCTGGGGTCTGGAGGACCATGGCCCTCTTCTCACAGCTCCACTAGATGGTGCCCTAGTAGGGACTCTGTACGGGGGCTCTGACCCCATATTTTCCTTCCACACTGCCCCAGCAGAGATTCTCCATGAGAGCCCCTCCTCTGCAGCAAACTTCTTCTTGACATCCAGGTGTTTCCATATATCTTGTGAAATCTAGGCAAAGGTTCCCAAACCCCAATTCTCAATTTCTGTGAACTGGCAGGCTCAACACCATGAGGAAGCTGCCAAAATTTGAGGCTTGCACCTTCTGAAGCCATGGCCCTGATTCTATGTTGGCCCTTTTTAGCCATGGCTGGAGAGGCTGGATGCAGGGCACCAAGTCCCTAGACTGAACACAGCACATGGACCCTGGGCCAAGTGCATTAAACCACATTTTCTTCCTAGTCTTCCAGACCTGTTATGGGGGAGGGCTGCTGTGAAGACCTCAGATATGCCCTGGAGAGATTTTCTCCATTGTCTTGGGGATTAACATTTCAGCTCCTTGTTACTTATGCAACCTGCAGCCAGCTTCAATTTCTCCTCAGAAAATGAGTTTTTCTTTTCTATTGCATTGTCAGCCAGCAAACTTTTATGCTCTGCTTACCTTTTAAAACTGAATGCCTTTAACAGCACCCAAGTCACATCTTGAATGCTTTTCTGCTTAGGAATTTTTTTTTTTCCATCAGATACACTAAATCATCTCTCTCAAGTTCAAAGTTCCACAAGTCTCTAAGGCAGGGGCAAAATGCCACCAATCTCTCTGCTAAAACATAACAAGAGTCACACAATAATAGTGGGAGACTTTAACACCCCACTGTCAATATTAGATCAATGAGACAGAAAATTAACAAGGATATTCAGGACTTGAACTCAGCTCTGGACCAACTGAACCTAATAGACATCTACAGAACTCTCCACCCCAAATCAACAGAATATGCATTCTTCTTAGCAGCACATCACACTTATTCTAAAACTGACCACATAATTGGAAGTAAAAGACTCCTCAGCAAATACAAAATAATGGAAATCATAACAGTCTCTCAGACCACAGTGCAATCAAATTAGAACTCAGGATAAAGAAATGCACTCAAAACCTCACAACTACATGGAAACTGAGCAACCTGTTCCTGAAGGACTACTGGGTAAATACGAAATTAAGGCAGAAATTAATAAGCTCTTTGAAACCAATGAGAACAAAGACACAACATACCAGAATCTCTGGGACATAGCTAAAGCAGTGTTTACAGGGAAATTTATACACTAAATGCCCACATGGGAAATCTGGTAAGATCTAAAATCGACACCCTAACATCACAATTAGAAGAACTAGAGAAGCAAGGCAAACAAATTCAAAAGCTAACAGAAGACAAGAAATAACTAAGATCAGAGCAGAACTGAAGGAGATAGAGACATGAAAAACCCTTCAAAAAATCAATGACCCCAGGAGCTGTTTTTTTTTTAAAGATTAACAAAATAGCTAGACAGCTAGTCAGACTAATAAAGAAGAAAAGAGAGAAAAATCAAATAGACCTAATAAAAAATGCTGAAGGAGATATCACCACTGATCCCACAGAAAAACAAACTACCATCAGAGAATACTATAAGCACCTCTATGCAAATAAAGTAGAAAATCTAGAAGAAATGGATAAATTCCTGGACACATACACCCTCCCAAGACTAAACCAGGAAGGAGTCGAATCCCTGAATAGACCAATAACAAGCTATGAAATTGAGGCAGTAGTTAATAGCCTTTCAACCAAAAAAAGTCCAGGACCAGACAGATTCACAGCTGAATTCTACCAGAGGTACAAAGAGGAGCTGGTATCTTTCCTTCTGAAACTATTCCAAGCAATAGAAAAAGAGGGACTCCTACCTAACTCATTTTATGAGGCCAGCATCATCCTGATACCAAAACCTGGCAGAGACACAAAAACATAAAAGGAAAATTCCAGGCCAATATCCCTCATGAACATCTATGCGAAAATCCTCAATATAATACTGGCAAACTGAATCCAGCAGCACATCAAAAAGCTTATCCACCACGATTAAGTTGGCCTCATTCCTGGGATGCAAGGCTGGTTCAACATACACAAATCAATAAATCCATCACATAAACCGAACCAATGACAAAAACCACCTGATTATCTCAATAGATGCAGAAAAGGCCTTCAATAAAATTCAACACCCCTTCATGCTAATAATGCTCAAAATAACTAAGTATTGATGGAATATCTCAAAATAATAACAGCTATTTCTGACAAACCCACAGCCAATATCATACTGAATGGGCAAGGGTGGAAGCATTCGGAAAAACATTCCAAGCTCACGGATAGGAAGAATCAATATTGTGAAAATGGCCATACTACCGAAAGTAATTTGTAGATTCAATGTTATCCCCATCAAGCTACCAATGACTTTCTTCACAGAATTAGAAAAAAACTACTTTAAATTTCATATGGAACCAAAAATGAGCCCGTATAGCCATCACAGTCCTAAGCAAAAAGAACAAAGCTGGAGGCATCATGCTCCCTGACTTCAAACTATACTACAAGGCTACAGTAACCAAAACAGCATGGTACTGTTACCAAAACAGATATATAAACCAATGGAACAGAGGCCTCAGAAATAATGCTACACATCTACAACCATCTTATTTTTGACAAACCTGACAAAAACAAGCAATGGGGAAAGGATTCTCTATTTAATAAATGGTGTTGGGAAAACAGGCTAGCCATATGCAGAAAACTGAAACCGGACCCCTTCCTTACACCTTATATGAAAATTAACTCAAGATGGATTAATGATTTAACATAACAACCCTAGAAGAAGACCTAGGTAATATCATTTAAGACATAAGCATGGGAAAAGATTTCATGACTAAAACATCAAAAGCAATGGCAACAGAAGCCACAATTGGCAAATGGGATCTAATTAAACTAAAGAGCTTCTGCACAGCAAAAGAAACTATCATCAGAGTGAACAGGCAACCTACAGAATGGGAGAAACTTTTTGCCATCTATCCATCTGACAAATGGCTAATATCCAGAATCTACAAAGAACTTAAACAAATTTACAAGAAAAAAACAAACAACCCCATCAAAAAGTGGGTGAAGGATATGAACAGGCACTTCTCAAAAGAAGACATTTATGTGGCCAACTAATATATGAAAAAAAGCTCATCATCTCTGGTCATCAGAGAAATGCAAATCAAAACCACAATGAGATACCATCTCACGCCAGTTAGAATGGTGATCATTAAAAAGTCAGGAAACAACAGATGCTGGAAAGTATGTGGAGAAATAGGAATGCTTTTACACCATCGGTGGGAGTGTAAATTAATTCAACCATTGTGGAAGACAGTTTGGCAATTCCTCAAGGATCTGGAACCAGAAATACCATTTGACCCAGCAATCCCATTACCAGGTATATACCCAAAGGATTATAAATTATTCTACTATAAAAACACATGCACACATATGTTTATTGCAACACTATTCACAATAGCAAACACTTGGAATCAACCCAAATGCCCATCAGTGATAGACTGAATAAAGAAAATGTGGCATATATGCACCATGGAATACTATGCAGCCATAAAAAAGGATGAGTTCATGTCCTTTGCAGGGACATGGATGAAGCTGGAAACTCATTCTCAGCAAACTAACACACAAACAGAAAACCAAACACTGCATGTTCTCAGTCATAAGTGAGAGCTGAACAATAGGAACACATGGACACAGGGAAGGGAACATCACACACTGGGGCCTTTTTGGAGGTGGCGGGGCTAGGGAAGGGATAGCATTAGGAGAAATAGCTAATGTAGATGACAGGTTGATGGGTGCACCAAGCCACCATGGCACATATGTACCTCTGTAACAAACCCGCACGTTTTGCACATGTATTCCAGAACTTAAAGTATAATTTAAAAGATTAGAAAAGAAAGTTCATTGTTATTGTAGAGAAATGCTACTGATTTCTGTGTGTTGATTTTTACCCTGCAAGTTTACTTAATTTATCAGTTCTAACAGTTTTTTGGTGGAATCTTTAGGGTTTTTTATATATAAGATTATCTCCTTTGCAAACAGGGACCCTATACCTTTTTTTCTTTTCAATTTGGATGCTTTTTATTTCTTTCTCTTGCCTCATTGTTCTGGCTAAGTCTTTCACTACAATGTCGAATAGAAGTGGTGAAAATGGGCATCTTTTTTCCAGTTCTTAGAAGAAAAGCTTTTACCATTTCTCCTCTTGAGTATGATGTTAGCTGCGGATTTCTCATATGTGGCCTTCATTGTGTTGAGCTACATTTCTTCTATAACTAATTTGTTGAGAGTTTTACCATGCAAGGATGTTGATTTTTGTCAAATGTTTTTTTCTAAATGTATTAAAATAATCATATAATTTTTGTTCTTCATTCTGTAAAGTGATGTGTCCCATTTATTGATTTGCTTATGTTGAGCTATCCTTTCATCCCAGAAATATATCCCACTAGATTACACTAGGTAAAAATGAATATATCTTAATATGTTGTTAAATTCCGTTTTTTTAGTATTTCATTGAGGATTTTTGCATATATGATCATCAAAGGTATTAGCCCATAAATTTTCATGGTGATAGCCTCATTCGACTTTGGTATTAATGTAATGCTGGCCTCATAAAAATAGTTTGGAAGCACTACCTCTTCTTCATTTCTTTGAATAGTTTGTTGAGAATGGCCATTAGTTTTTTAAATATTTAGTAGAATTCAGTTGTGAAACCATCAAGTTGGGCTCTTCTTGGTTGGGAGACTTTTTATTACGACTTTAATCTTCCTTCTCATTATTGGTCTGTTAAGAATTTTTTTTCCCCATGATTCAGTCTTGGCAGGTTGCATGTGTCTAAGAATGTAGCCAATTCTTTTAGGTTATCCATTTGGGGGGCATATAATTCTACATGATAGTTTCATCATTTTTTTTTTATTTCTGTGGTATTAATTGTAATGACTCTTCTTTCTCTTGGTTAGTCTAGTTAAAACTTTGTCAATTTGTTTATCTTTTCAAAAAAACCAACTCTCACTTTGTTGACCTTTTGTATTTTTTTTTGTTTTTCATCTCTATTTCATTTATTTCCCCTCCAGCGTTTATTATTTCTTTACCTCTGCTAACAATGGGCTTATTCTTCTTTTTCTATTTTCTTAAGATATAATGTTAAGTTGTTGACTTAAATCTTTCTTCTTTTTGTTTGCTTGTTTGACCATAGCATCATCGACATAATAGTAGGCAGAGATTTGCCACAGGATGCAGGGTTAACTTGTGGTCTTAGTTTTCAGTGATGTGCTTATTTTTGTGTACAAGTATTTTATTGTATTTTATTTTAATTTTATTGTATTTTTCTTGAGACAAGGTCTCATTCTGTTGCCCAGGCTGGAGTGCAGTGGCCTGATCACAGCTCACTGCAGGCTAAACCTCTGCAGGCTCAGGCAATCCTGCCACCCCAGTCTCCCGAGTAGCTGGGGAGACAGGCATGCACCAACATGCCTGGCTATTTTCTTTTTTCTGTGTGTGTTTTTTGTAGAGACAAGATTTCATCATGTTGCCCAGGCTGTGTCTCAAACTCCTGGGCTCAAGTGATCCACCCTCCTCAGGATCCCAAAGTACTAGGATTATAGGCATGAGCCACCGTGCCTGGCCATCTACAAATATTTTAAAAGGAAATCTGGCATAATTGTATACAGCTGCTTAGATAAATACCATTTTAGCAACATCACATTGCCTTTAAGTTTAAAAAAGAAATGCTCAACTCCATATATCAAGCAGAATGTGATAATATAACATTTATCCTTCATACCTGGTACTGAATGAATGAATACTAAATGTATCTTTTATTTTTAAAGTTATTTGTAAAAATACACAAAATACAAGCATGTGATTCATGATTTTTGGACTACAATTTGAAATGCAAGGTGGCATCTTCACTTTTATTATGCAATTTGTTCCTGTAAATAATTTGTGAATTATATAATGAATCAACATGAAGTTATATTAGTATACATTATGAGGTGACAAGGAAAAATTGGGATATAATTTATCTTTTTAAGTAATTTATTGAATAATGTATCATTAAATTCTCTTAACAAAAATTAACACACATAGTTTTTGAAACAGAAAATTTGACATAATATTGATGTGCATTAGTCTGTTGTTAAAAATCCATGTACCTAACATAGGGAGAAAGAAGTTGTATGTCTGTACATCTAAAATCCATGTAAATAATGTGGCCATTTGTGCCCTGAATGCAATTGCTCTCATTAAAGAATTATCTGTCCTATATAGTTTAGTTATTATGTTTGACTCTAATAAAGGAACTATACCATTGGTGGACAAAAAATTATTTTTTCCACTACCTGATGTCTCAAATTATACCAGCAACATTCTGCTAGAAGTGGAACTTGCAGTTACATGCACCGTGATATATTTTGTGATCAGTTTCTCAGAAATAAGAGTAATATTTTGAAAAGTATATACAGTTTTAAATGAGAACAATTAAAATGCATTTTGTTGGTTGGGTCCTTTATTCACTGGTTCCTGATTATGGTGTTTTTCAAATCATTGATTTTGTAATTACTGGGTTTTACTTGGTAATTGAAAATTCTTGCAAGCAATGTCCACTATGCAATGAAATTTGATGTGCTTACAATATGCCGAGTAAATTTTTTTCACATTTAATGGAATTTACACACATGTATGCACACATATAAGGAAGCAAAAAATGCTAATTACATATTTTATACTGTTGCTGTGATTGTAAATTGTTTTCAGCCTTTAATGCCTCATTATCAGAAAATTTTCTTTCTCTACTTGACACTAAGTTCTAATAGAAATTTCATACATTGGATTTTATTTCTGGATTTATAGTTGGTAGCACTTTCACTAAAAAAAAACAGAAGCAAGTTTTCTAGGTCACAGTATAAAGGTGCTGTATGAGTTTCTTTGAAACCCTGTAACAAAGTATCACAAACTGGGTTCCTTAAAACGACAGAAATGTATTGTTTCACAGCTTTGGAGAATAGAAGTCTGGAAGCAAGATGTCATCAGGGTCATGTTCCTTCTGAAACCTGTAGAAAAATCCTTCCTTGCCGCTACCTAGTTTCTGGTGGTTTACTGACAATATTTGGTGTTTCTATGCTTGCAGCTGCATAACTCTGATCTCTATCTTTATCATCATATGGTGTTCTCATTCTTTCTCTGTGTCTTCACATGACTGTCTTCTGATAAGGGCATCAGAAATATTGGATTAAGAGCCCACCCTATTCCAGTATGGCATCATCTTACATCTACAGTGTAATTACATCATATTACACTACACTAACTACATCTACAGTGATTCTATTTCCAAATAATGTTACATTCTCAAGTGTTGGGGGTTAGAACTTCAGCATACCTTTTTACGGGCAGTGGGGCGGGGCGGGGGGGCGGCACAATTCAACCCTTAGCTGTGCCCAACCCTATTTAGAAGTGTGAAATACGTGTTGACATTTTGATTAGACTAAGACATTGAGCACATTATCAAACCTTCTCTTAGGTCTCCCTTCATGCCATCCTTCTTTTTCCCACAGAAACTTTGCTTGAGATGTTTTCTCAACCACAAGCATTATGCACTCCCCTTACCAATTTTACATTTAGTTCCTGGTCAGTCCTTGAAAACTCCTTTTAAGCAAACTACCTCAGTGATGCCATCTCAGACCAGGAACATGTTGGATCAAGTCCACTTCTGAATGCTGTCATAGCCTTGATATCTGGTCAATGAAACTTTGATCAGTTCTACTTATACATTCATCAACATAATTGTGATTTGATTGGTGTCTTTCTCCTTAAGCTGAAACCTATCTAAATGTAGAGGTGCTAATTCTTTTCCCATTGCTATATCTATAGTACCTAGTACAGTGCCTGGCTCCCCCCAAAAATGCTATATTGTGATTTGTTGAGTAAATGAATGAATATGTTTATCTTTGTTCCAAGGACAAATAAAAAAACAGACTAATTTGGTGTAAAACTCTTGAAACTGCTTAATCAATTATTATATACTATATATGAGGTATGAAATTGATAAATGTGAAAGAAAGACAAAGTTACAAGTATAAGGAAAATATAGAAACTTAGAAAATGCAACCTAGGAGTGAAGTAATATAATGTCACATAGTCATGTAAGGTAATACTTATGGAAATAAATTCTTGTGATTTCAGAACCATATAGGGCAATTCTAAATAGATTTCCAGTTGTATCCTGACATTGTGACAAATATTAAGTTCTCTGGAGTCATATGGTCTGGGTTTAAATTCTAGTTTATTATTTATTCTTTCTATGACTGTTGTCACATTACTGTATCTTCCTGTTTTCTTGTTTACAAAATGGGAATGATAATGGCATCTATTTTATGGGTGTAATTTAGATTACTCAGGTAGAGCACCCAGCAAATATAATTATTTGTGGAGCTTGAGCTCAATCTTGAAAGGAAATGTTTGTTTTCAAGAAGACAAGGAAAGACATTCAGGTGGAAGTATTTTTCATTTTGAATGCAGGTATCAGGCAAAATTCTCAGAACAGCCTCCAAAACTTATTAATAGGTTAAAAGCACAATAACCAGGACACTATACTACAGCAAAAGCTCTACCTCAATTGTTGTGAAGGACGTATCAGAAAACCAGCACACATTCACTATGGAAAAGGACCAAAGTAACTAAGGAACATTTATCTTTTAAAGGTAGGAAAAAGATAAATGGGAAGTGTTGTATTAAGAGAGTGTTTTTCAACCTTTAATGTGCATGCAGATCACTCGGGAAATTCATAAATATGAAAATTCTGATTTAGTGAGTTTTGAATGGGGCCTGAGATTGTTTATTTCTAACAAATGTCCATGTCTGTTGGTCCTTGAGCCAACTTTAAGCATCAAGTCTTTCAGATACACACTGAAAGGGAGAGATCATCGTAAACGCTGCATTTGTCATCCATCGAATATATCCTAGGGATACCGTGAAATTCGGGTAAAACTGGTGGAAAAAGATATTGAACTAAAAGATTTTAGCTACATAAATTTTTGCAGCATCTTATCAAGACTGGTAGTTTAATTTATGAACCTCATTGAGCAAGTTTGCTGACAAGCAATAGCACAGTAATAGTTATCACAAACATACTCACACAAATGTCATTTTCTTCAATTCCGTGACCCAGAGAAAAAAATTCATAGACCTTCCATAAAAGAGAGAAGCAAAATGCTGCATATTATTAAGCAATTGTGGTTTTATATATTTCTGGGCTATTAGATGTTTTAAGCAAGGAAATTTTTCTTTGATTATAAGCAAATTGACAATATTATAATGAAAATAATATGCTATTACTCCTACATAATATTCTTTCATAGAGGAAAAACAGGAGATGATATTTAATTTGATTCACCAATCAGTTTTTTTGGAAACCATATTGCTCTATTAAGAACAATATTGTATCACATGAACAATGCCCATAATGACTTCAAAATTCATTGAAAGGCAGCCAGCATGTACATCAGATTTATTGAGACATCAGAATTTCATTTCATGAATTCAAAATGTTCATTTATAGCTTGGGGAGTTTTTATTAGTCTTATAATTTGATTTTGCGGCTATTGGAAAATAAGCAGTATGTTGTCAGTATCTAAGTTTTCAGTAGATAGTCAATGTCAAAATACATAAAAGAAAAAATAATGAATATAACTGGGAGATGGAGGCATTTTTACCAAATAGATTTTCTCTAAACTGCATACTTTCAAATACGTTTAGGAATAAATGAACTTGAGCATACACTATTATATGTTCTTCAATCCTGACAGATCCTAAGAGTATACCTAACCCGAAAGCTCAAAAAAGTGCAGTAGATTTGTAGAATTGATTATCAATTTCTCAGTAACCATTGTGTGTCTTTAGGGTGATTCAAACATAAGAGACCTGAGAAGCAATTTGTTCCATGTATCAACTTTTAATCCATGTTGAACCAATATACAAACAGCCTAAACAAGCAACACCTTTTTATTTTTATTATTATTTATTTTATTTATTTATTTATTTATTATTATTATTATACTTTAAGTTTTAGGGTACATGTGCACAATGTGCCGGTTAGTTACATATGTATACATGTGCCACAAGCAACACCATTTTAAAAATTACCTACTACACTGCAGTTTAAAAGTTCAATAATTAAAAATGTAGAATATAATTTTAGTATACTTTTCTACCTACACATACATACATACATTCATGTACAATAATAATAACAAATTACATCTACATTTTATGGTTTGAAGTGGTTTTGGCTTGGGTACTGAAGAGCTTGAACCCTGCAAGTTCATAGGAAATCAAAGAATCACTGCTAGAGCCCTCATGAGGGCTTGCATTTTGTTTGTACAGGGCGCAAAAGACTGAATCTTAACCTGTATATTTATTTAATTCAAATTTGGAAGAGGCATTTGTAGCAAGTACCTCTGAACACAGGCTAGAGCTTGAATAATAAACTAAGTTGTGTTTAAATCCTCACTCTAAAATTTAACAGCTGAGTAGTATTGAAAAAGTCAATTAAATCACTGTGTTTTGGTTTTTCATCTGTAAATTGGGGAAAATAATTCTTACCTCCTATGGCTTTTGTGCAGATTAAATGGGATGGTAAAAATGTAAGTTTTACATATTACGTAGTATAAATTATGGATGAAAAATAAGTATTAATTCATTTTGCTTCTCTCTGCCAACCTTTTTGTGCTCTTTGGTAAATTAACAAATTCTTTGCTTTAGCTTCTCACTTGTAAATTAGAATAAACAATTAATGTACTAGATAGGGTTTCCCTAAAAACTTGCAAATAGAAAATTAAAAGTCACAAGTACATGTCTTATCTGAAAAAAAGATAGGAAATCAAGAAATAAAGCAATTCTGGACACGCTAAGATTTACGTAAAATTTTATCAGAGATCTAGCAATTGTCAAGATTAATTTGACAAGTAAATGCAGCAGCCAGAATAGTTTAGGACCTTAACTGGACATAAAAGCTCTGAGTGATCAAGGTAAATGGTATATACAACCTAAAGTAAGAAGAGAGCTGACTTACCATCCCTGAAATACTTGCCATCCAAATCTATACAACAATCTTCAATTAAAATTGCTGTGACTTTACAATTTCATTTTCTCTTACCCACTCTTATTCTTTTTAGTACAATTCCAGCAAATGAAGTGACTTTTTAAAAATTCCAATAAGTTCCTGCTCAAAATCTTCCAGTGGCCTCTCATGCTACTTAAAATTCTGGACTTCTTACCAAGACCTTTTAGGTTCTGTATCTTCTGGCCTTGCCTGTCTCTTGAAACCTTGTATATTACCCCTACCCCTTATTTATTGTGCTCACAGCCTTCCCATTATCGTATTTAACACACTGATGGTTGTATTTGATATCGTTTTATATGGACTATGTTTACATTTTTACTGTTGTTTTCCCAGCTCCTCAAGCAGCGCCTAACTTTCAATAAACGGTTGTTGAATAGATTACTTACTTGATTTTAACATTTTAAAAAATTCTATGCTGTACAAGCCAGCTAAATGAATTAATCTGAATCAAATGCATACCATCTTATTATACACTATTATATTATTTACACTATCTTATTGAACACAGGCCATATATAACGTACAGGGTTAAGTGCTATGAAAAAATATGGAGACTAAAGTCTTTTCCTCAAAGACTTTACATTTGGTGGGTGGGGGGCAGGGAATATAGGAAAACTGCAAAATATAATAATAAAGTTCAAATTAATAAATGCTTTGGTCCTGCTTATTTATCTCAAGTATTTATGTCATCTTATTAATAATATGTATACACAATATTTATATACAATTCTCTACTCTTTCTTTGTTTCATGTAATTAAAAAATATCACATAAGGACTTATAAAAATTTACCTCTATTTGATTTTTGATTTTGTATATGTATGTGCATGCATGTATGTGTGTGCATGTGTGTGTGTGTGTGTGTGTGTATGTGTGTGTGATTATTCATTAGGTTGTCAATGTGTGGAGCTTAGCTGCGTTTGCAGTGTGAATCCTACATCCTGAAACACATAAACTGAATTTTGAATATTCAATGAGAAGGATCATTTATATAAAACATTAGATGTGATAATTTGGTATCATGATTCCTAAGCAAAAATGTAAATTCTTCACCATTGATAGGATGATAGTGCGGTAAATACAATCTCAAGCAAAATAAAAAGTTTCATACCTCTTCTACTTATTGATTCGCCACATTCAGATGTGTAATTCTTTCCTTAAATTCCACTAGTATATTCAGGTCAATATACATTGCCATCCTCACAACATCTAAAAGAGCCACCATCATTTTCAAGGGCTCTGATAAATTATGTTGTTTTTTGAACTTTGTAATTTCCTTCAGAAAAAAAAAATCAATTTGCCTGAAGTGATTGCTTGTTTCTCTAGAATATATGTATATTCTTTATGCACACAGAGATTATAGAGAACTCCACTACTGTGAAAGCATTTATTTCCTATAAATCTCAACACCTTTGATCAGAACCACTGGCAAAATCAATAATTGGATTCTGGCTGAGATGACTTGGCAAGTTATTCCCAAACCTAAACCTTAATAACAATATATAAAAATACATTTCTTAGAGCACAGTATCTTCAATCCAATCATGAATTCCAAAGCAACCTAAGCTATGCTATTTTGTAGGTGTGTTTTTTTTAACATACAGAAATTATTTTATAGAGACAAGATGTGACCTGCAAAGTTTAAAAGGAAAAACAGCAGCATTTTTGTGTGGCAATGAAGTAGAATCAAGCAGAGAGCTGTTCTTATAAAATCACTCCACAAATTGCATCACATGATGGTGCAGAACATTCTGCAGTGGAATTATGTAACACATGAGCTACTTTCAAAGTATGAAAATGCAGTTTTGATTTTGCAGAAACAGAAAAAATGAAATGGAAAAATATTTTAGAAATAATATACTTAAAGTATGTTTTGCAGAAAAGTGCATATGTATTATGTAGATATAAATCTATAGAGGTATATTAAGAATAGGTTGGGCTCATCACAGATAAATAAGTGCTTGATAAATTTTAGATGATTGCATAGGCAAAATATGCTTTATTTGAGTTTAATTTACCTATTAACAAAACCTACACTGAAAAAATCATATAGTCTTAGAAGTAGAAAGTACTTTACCTAGATCAACTTTCTTTGTTCAGCAGAGCATTAAAGCTTCATTCAAATTAGAGCGCGCTTTGAGATTAGAATCTTTCTTTTTTACTTTCCTCTTACTAAGTGTGTGACGTTGTAAGATGGATTGATTTTCTGAGATTCAGTTTGATCATCTGCAAATCTTACATAATACTTCTCTAGAAGCACAGGAGCTGACTTTGGTGGCTCCAATAAAAGATTTCTTAGAAAAATATAGCAGACTCAAGAAGAAACTCAATGGGACATGGAAAAACCAGGTAGATTTGAGGGGCAAATTGTAAAAAGCTGGAAAAAGGAGCAAACCCCCCATAAAAGCCCCAGTCAAATCATTTGTTTTTGATTTAGATACAACTTCTTAATGAAGCAAGGAATCACAATTCTATTTTAGTCTATTGTATCACATCCCAAAACCTTCCATAAGCTGGGGCTTTCTTTTTCCTAACAACTGTAAATCCATTTCTAGTTTGAATTTGTCAAGTTCTTATATAATAATGTAAGTACTACAATGAAAATGTAGGGGTTTTTGTTTGCTTTTGGTTGGCCGCTGTGGTTGTTATTGTTGTTGGTTTCTTTTTTTTTTCAAGCATATGTGGATATATGGAGTAATTGGTTTAACCTTAATAAAAACACTTAAATTTGCTATAGGTAAAAGTCCTGTGTTGAGGAAAAAATACTATTTAAAACCATTGAATTGAAGCCATTGTGCTTTAGGTTTTTAGGATGCAAATAATGAAATGAAGAGATCATTTTGAAATAGCTAAAGTGTGGAGTACTGTGATATGAGTTTTGCCGAGAGAGTTACTGTTTCAAAATTTCTCTCTCACTAGTACCTGGAAGTTCAGAATGGATAAGTCATTCCTTATGATAATGAAAGTCTTTATTTCCCAATCTTATTATCAGCTAACAATAGTAGTCTTATGTCTCTCTCTGATCTCTTAGCACCACTGTGGAAAAACATCGATCTTTTTGAATCAGTACCATGTCCACCCCTTATATGCAGCCTAGAAGGTTGCTTATCAAAGATTTCTCAGCCTTGAATTAATACTTTCCTTAAGATCCATCTACCCTTAGTCAAATACTTATTTAGAATTCACTTTAATAATTACACTTATTAAAATATTTTTCCTTAAGTTCCCAAATTAATGAAAATATCCACTTAGTAAGATTAATGAAGATGCCTATCATTTCTTCTCTGTACACCTATACCTCCTTCTTAAGAAACGGAGCCCTGGGGAGACAGAGTCCTATTCTTCCATCCCACCATAAAGAAGCAAATTAGATACAGACACCTGAGTTCAACTGCATAAATAAGATTTTTCCCTAAATATATAAAGTATAGACTTTAAATTATTTAGCTATGATCAGCCAGCCCTGGAGGTCATTTAAGCTATGGGACTAAGGTTGTAGTTGGGGGTAATTATAATGTGATGGTGAGTCTGCAGAGAGGCTGATCTGAGGAGACAAACAAACATAGCAAAAATGCTTGAATTCTGCCTTTTTCTTTATCTCTCTGCATCTTCCTACCTTCTTAAAAGGACTTCTGGCTGGGCTTGGTGGCTCATGCCTGGAATCCCAGCACTTTGGGAGGCTGAGGTGGGAGGATCACCTGAGGTCAGGAGATCAAGACCAGCCCGACCAACATGGTGAAACCCCGTCTCTACTAAAAATACAAAAATTAGCCTGGAGTGGTGGCACATGCCTGTATTCCCAGCTACTCGGGAGGCTGGGGCAGGAGAATCACTTGAACCTGGGAGACAGAGGTTGCAGTGAGCTGAGATCGTGCCACTGCACTCCAGCCTGGGCATACCATAATTATAAATTAATCATGGTTATTTCTAAGTGACTGCTTTGGACTCAGTCTATATGATGACTTAGATTTTCCCCTCCAAGGAAATTTTTAATTATAAATTAAAATATTATTATAAAACTTAATATTCATATCCCCTCAATGTCAGGCTGTGTAGGTATTCAATCATTATTTTAACAGAATCAATAAATGGCTTATTTTTCCTTAACATCATTCACAATAGGAAGAATTTCTGAATTAAACTTATAACTATTTTATATTGTCAACTAGCTTTCCAAAAGAGTTGACACTTTTTATGTTTCCATTAACAATGTGGAAGAATTCTGCTTTCACCACATTTTTACCATCTTTTGATATTTTTATTAAAATGAAAAAAGTTATTTGATTGACAAAAATCTATTTTATCTTGACCTTCATCTCTTTGGCAATGAGTTTGAACATTTTATTATTTATATCATAACCTCTGCATTTCCTTTTCATTTTAATGTTCTTAGGCCATTAATCTACTGAAATTAGCATATTTAAGAGTGGCTTAAATAGTAAAGTAAATATTGAATGAAAAAGAGAGTTATGATAAAAAGTGTACTGCCTAAAATTCTGAAGAAGTTTATAAGTGTCTACAAGATCTTTAAGATTCTTAGAGATTGTTTGTATTATAATGTAGGGAATAATATATTTTGATAACCATTGTTCATCTACAACTAAAGTGCATTGTGTCATTTTTATTCACCAAGACAGTAAAAATAGAAGTGAGAAAATTAACTTGTCAACGTTGGCAAGTTAGCTTTAATCATATTGGTTGACATTATTAAATTAAATTGCAGTGCATTCTTATAAAATGTCTCTCAATACATTCAGAATCAGAATATTGAGATAAATGCTGTGTTACCGTGGCTCTTTATTGCCAAGGACAGATGTCACCATGGTTTATAATGGTCTTCCCATAGCTCAGTTACAGTGAGGTATTGAAGGTCAACAAAATGGCTCACGGTTGGATTCTGGCACTGACAACAAAATTGTGCCAGATGTTCCCCTTTGCCAGGTGGAAGGTAAAAGCACTAATTCACAAATTGATTTTATAATGGTGACAGTATATTGGTTGAATTAAAAGGTAGCTTAATAATTTGGCCTGTAACCATGCTAGCTATTCCTCAGGTTCTAAGGAATTGTTCAATGAGAATACTACCATGTTATGTCAGAGACTATACACACACTAATTCATTCATTCACTTAAAATTTGTTTTAAGTCATTACCCTCTGTGGTGAACTGTGCTATGTATTGGGGAGCTGGTAGTAAATAAATAAGACAACTCTTACAGAATTTTCTGGATGATGAAGACAAGAGTAAACAATTAATTACAATAAAATATAGATGATGTAGAAAAATAAGTGCAAAGAATGATGGGAGCATGCATTAAGACATTTAACTGAGCCTAGAAGTTTAGAAGAGGCTTCCTGGAAGTAAGGAAACATTAATATATATGTGAAGAAAATCTAATCATAAGAGAATAAATGTTGGGAGGTCTTTAAACTAGCTTACATTCTTTGTCTTATCACTAAAAGTTCATGCCCCACAGTTAAATCTTTATCTACTTTTTAAGAAAATCAATTCATGAAGTCAAAACTAGTAAAAGTATTGTTTATAATCAAATATTTTGTTTTTATTCAAAATTAATACAAGTGGCTCTATTATTAAAAAGTAGATTTTAGATTGATAGAGCACAGTGTTTATGAATGTGGGACCAAAACTCTGAACAAGCTTACTCTATGTTATTTTAAGAATTACTTATAGGTTGACACACAGACTGAAACTATTAAAAGAAAGCATGAGCCTATTCTTGACTACCTATACTGACTTTACTGCCATTCACATATAATGGGATGATAATTTGAAGCTTTGACCAGTGTGCCAACAGATAATGTGTGCTACGTATCAAAGTGAAGTGTCAGATCAAATCGTTTATTTCAAAGAAGATGGTTGAAAAACAGACTGAAAATTGGTTGCATCAATCTTGGGTTCTCTCATAAGGGAGCCTTGACTCCAAATCTAGGATATAAAAAGTTCTAGAAAATAAAAAAGAAAGAATTTATTAATAGGCTTTTGAAATAGAACTGCCACCCTCTATGTTTTTCTTCACCTCCCCTCATTTCTAAAAAAAAAAAGAAAAAGAAAAAAAAAGTGGTGGTGGGCGTACGGCTCTTTCTTTTACCTCAATTACATACAGAAACATTTTTAAAGCCACTTACAGAGAGATTGGAATATATCTTCTGCAGTTTAGAAATAATAGTGTGCAAGCTACAGAGATGAGCTGGAGCACCGATTAGGCAAGGGAGCAACAGGGAACTGTGATTGCTTCTAGGGAGTATTTGGACTGACTTTCAATGGTAGGTCAAATGGCTTGAGTACTTCCCTTGTGGCAAGTACCACATGGGAGGCAGAACAAACCAAGAGCTCTCCTAAGTCCTACCCAAGTGAAATCACTATTCATAACTACTTATGCTGGCTTTACTGCTATTCACATATAAGGGATGTTAAAATTGAAGCTTTGACCAGGGTGCCAACTAATAATGTGTGCTACATATCAAAGTGAAGTGTCAGATCAAATTGATTATTTCAAAGAAAATTGTTGAAACCAGGCTGAAAATTAGTTTCATTCTTCTTAGGCCCCCAGCAAGGGAGCCCTGACTCCCTTGTCAAGACTTTTGAAACTATAAGGCAGGGACTGATGGAAAAAAAACAATGCTGAAGACGGAAATCTTCAGCTATAGAAAACGTTGCCTATGGGAGGATTCTGGCAAAATGGTGGAGTAGAAAGCACCAGGAATCTGTAACTCCACCTAGACAACAATTTTACTGGTAGAATATGTCTGAAGTAACGATTTTGTAACTCTGAAGTCTATTGAAGGCTTGACACATCCAAGGGGAATATTTAGAAGGTAATCTGTGTTTAATTTGGTCAATTTTTTGTCATAGCAGAGTATCAGCTACTCATCCCCCATCCCAGTGGCAGCCAGCTGAATTCCTGGAGCAGCTTGTGCACAGCTTGCAGGGCATATAGAAAACAAACAGCAAAATAACACAATTAAGTCCCTCTTTATCAGTAATTATTTTAAATGTAAATGGATTAAACTCTCCAATAAAAAAATCAAAACAGAGATTTTTAGAATGGATAAAAAGACATAATTCAACTATATACTATCTATAAGATAATAACTTTTAATCCAAAACCACAAATTGATTGAAAGTGAAAATATGCAAAAATATGAAAATATTAAACAAAAGAAGGCAGGGTTAACTATCAGAAAAAATAGACTTCAAATTCAAAAAGTTGACAAGAGACAAAAGAGATTATATATTAATAAAAGATTCAATACAGCAAGTTATAATTATAAACATTTATGCACCTAATAAGAACATCAAAACATATGAGGCAAAACTGATAAAATTGAAAGGAGAAATTGATAGTTATACAATAATACAGACTGCAATAATCTACCCTCAATAATTAATAGAACAACCAGAGAGATGATACGTGAGGAAACAGAGGACTTAACACAATAAACCAACTAGATTTAACAGACTTTTGCAGAGCACTCTAGCCATCAAAACAGAATATACATTCTTCTCAAGAGCATTAGGACATTATTCAGGATAGATGATCTGTTAGGCCATGAATTCTCAATAGATTTTAAAAGATAGATATTATACAAAGTATCTTCTCCAACTACAATAAAAAGAAGATAAAAAACAATAAAAAGTAAAATTGGAAAGTGTACAAAGTTGTGTAAACAATACACTCTTAAACAACAAAGAGATCAACAAAAACATTATAAAGAAAATTAGAAAATACTTAGAGATGAAGAAAAATGAAAACACAATCTACTAAAACTGATAGGGCACCATGAAAGCATTAATATGGAAAAATACAGCTATAAATGCCTATATTGAAAAACAAGAAAAATCTCTAATCAACAAGCTAACTTTACAACTTAAGAACTTAGAAAAGAAGAACAACATAAACCCAAAGCTAGCAGAAGAATGGAAAGAATAAAGATTAGAACAGTGATAAGTGAAATAGACCAAAAAAAAAAAAAAAACAGAAAAGAAAGCAAATCAAATGGTGGTTCTTAAAAATAATCAACAAAATTTGTGAACCTATTCCTACAAGAGAAAAATGGAGGATTCAAACTGCTAAAATCAGAAGTGAAAATGAGACATTTATATGGATTCTATCAAAATAAAAGGATTTAGAAGAGAATACTATGAACACCTGTATACCAATGGATGGTTTCCTAGAAAAACAAAACCTATGAACACTAAGTTACAAGGAAATAAAGTATCTGAATAGATCAATAATAAGATGGAATTAATTATAAAATTTCTCCCATTAAAGAAAAGCCCAGCAATTTCACTTTTGAGTATTTACACAAAAGATTTGAAATCAGTGTATCAAAAAGATATCTGAACACCTATGTTTATTGCAGCATTATTCACAATAGCCAAGTTATGAAATCAAACTAAGTGTTCATCAAGGGTAAATGGATAAAGAAAATATGGCATACATACACAATGAATGACTATTCAGCCTTAAAAAAGGAAGAAATTCTATCATTTGAGACAACATAGATGGAACTGGAAAAACATGTTAAATGAAATAAGCCAAACATGGAAAGATAAATACCACATGTTCTCACTGTTAGGTGGAATCTAAAACAAAAGAACTGATAGAAGCAGAGAATAGAATGGTGGTTTTCATGGGCCTTGGGATAGGAAAAATGTGGAGATTATAGTCACAAGGTACAAAGCCTCAATTAGGAGAAATAAGTCTAATTTTTATGAGATCTATTGTAAAACATGGTGAATATAGCTAATAATTGAGTACTGCAAATTTCAATATCACTGAGTAAATTTCTAAAGTTATCATCACAAAAATATTAAATATTTGAGACAATGGATATGTTACTTAGCTTGATTTAATCATTCTGCTTGTATTCAAAAATTGTAACATCACTCTGTACTCCATAAATATATACAACTATAATTTGTCAGTATGCAATTAAAAAAAGAAGAAAAGCCCAGGGCCTGATGGCTTATCTGGTGAATGTTACCAAGCATTTTAAAAAGAACTAATACCATTGCTTTTCAAATTTTCTCAAAATTGAAGAGTAGAAACACTTCCTAATTCATTCTGAGGTCAGAATTACTTTGATACTAAAGCCAAAGGCACTACAAGAAAACTGTACAGCAATATCCCTTTTAAACATTAATGTAAAAATCCTCAAAAAATATTAGCATGTATATTAAAAGGATTATACAGCATGATCAAATGGAAATTATTCCTGGAAAAAAAAGATTGGTTTGATATATGAAAATTCATGAATGTAATACACCTCATTAACAGAATGAAGGAAAAAACTCACATTGTTATCTCAATTGATTTAGAAGAAGCATTTGACAAAGTTTAGCATCCTTACTTAAAAAATGCTAAAAAAAAAAACTGTGTCAAGATAATGAAATATATATTGAAAAAAACTACAGCAAATTCAAAACTCAATGGTGTAAATCTTAAAGCTTTTCCTCTAGGATCAGGAACAAAGCAAGAATGTCTATTTGTGGCACTGCTATTCAACATAGTATTCAAAGTGCTAGCCAGAACAATTAGGTAAAATAAAGAAATATAAAGACCAAAATTGGAAAGTAAGAAAATTATCTATTTGCAGATGATATGGTCTTAGATGTAGAAAACCTTAACGATTCTACAACAACAACAAACTGTTAGAACTAACAAATGAATTCAGCAACATATCAGGATACAACATCAACACACAAAAATCAAATGCTTTTGTTTGCATTTGCCTTACATTTATTAGGCTGTCTAGCATCAAAAAAAAAAAAATAACAAGTGTTGGCTAGAATTTGGAGGGACTAGAACTCTTGTGCACTTTTGGTGGGAATGTAAAATGATACAGCCACTGCAAAAAAACAGTATGGTATCCTGACATGGAGCCTCAAATACATTATGCTAGGTGAAATAAGCCAGTCACAACAAGACAAATACTGTATAATTTCACATATATGAGTAGTTAAGATCACAGAGACAGAAAGTAGAATGGCCTTTGCCAAGGGCTGTGAGGATGAGGGAATAAAGGATTATTATGTAATGGGTATAGAGTTTTAGTTTTACAAGATGAAAGAGTTATGGAGATAGATAAATGTGATGGTTCCACAATATTATGAGTGTATTTAATACCATTGAACTGTACACTTAAAATGGTTAAGATGGTACACTTTATGTTATGTATATTTTACCACAATGTTTTAAAATGGGAATAAAAAAGTACTGTTTATGTCTGAAAGTTTTAGCACAATCAGAAGAATGCGTTTAATACCAAAAACAGACCCCAGGACATTATCTCTAAGCATCAGCCAGGCACATGCAGTGGAAAGTCATCTTATGACAATGAACATTCATACAAGAAATTTAACTGACCTCTTCCCTTAAATGTCTTCCTTCCTGTCACATCTCTACTTCTACTTACGAGTGAGTTATTATGGTTATTGAGGCAGGGTGGAAGAGATGAGAATAGAATGACCATACCAACCATCTCCACTGCAAACTGCAAGTTTACTTACTATGCGCAGTGACTGGAGAAAGGGAGAAATTTTGCCCTTACATCAGATTTGATGTTGTGATAGGTTGTATTGTCTTCCAACAACTTTTTTTTCCCACTCTGCCTTTATCTTCTCCCTCATTTCACTGTGGTAATAATTTTTCACCTCACTAATTCTGAATCTAGCCATGTCAGTTTCTGAGGCTGATGTAATAATAGTGAGTGTAATAAAATCAGGGGCTTTAAATTATATGTTTGCATGTTTGTTTCTATGTCTTGCACTTACGCTATTACCTTGAGAAGCAAATGTCCTGGGTACTAACTGACTGAAGAATGATAGAGACAAGTGAGAAAGACTTCAACTGAATCAAAGCCTCATATCCAGCTTAGACCAGCTGAGCCCAGGAGAATTCAGGAGAACTGTAGTTGCTCCACAGACTTGAGAGCAAGAAACAAATCTTTGCTGTGGAAGCAACAGAAATTTTTGATGTATTTTTAATGCACCAATAAATTGACTATTGCAAACATTTTTATTAGTGTGGAGAATTGCTTGTTTTAATGACTTGAGATATTAAAAATTTAATATATAGAATGGGAGAAAATATTCACAAACTATCCATCTGAAAAGGGATTAATAACCAGAATATATAATAATAATAAAAGAATATATAACGACCTCAAACAACTGTATAGGAAAAAAAATCTCATAATACAATTAAAAATGGGCAAAAGATCTGATTAGACTTATTTCAAAAGAATACATACAAATGGCAAACAGGCATATAAAAATGTGTTCAAAAATCTTTGATGATCAGAGAAATTTGAATCAAAACTACAATGAGACACCATTTCACTCCAGCTAAAACAAGTTTATCCATCAACGATAAATGCTGGCAAGGAAATGGAGAAAAGGAAACCCTTTATACTATATTAGTCCATTTTCACACTACTATAAAGAAATACCAGACACTGAGTAATTTATAAAGAAAAAAGGTTTAATTGACTCACAGTTCCAAATGGCTGGGGAGGCCTCTGGAAACTTACAATCATGGTGAAAGGCAAAGGGGAAGCAAGCTGGGACCTTCTCACATTGAGGCAGGAGAGGGAGCAGAATGAGGAGCGAAGGGGGAAGAGCCCCATATAAAACCATCAGATCTCATGACAACTGACTCACTATCATGGGAACAGCATGGGGGAAACCGCCCCCATGATCCAATCACCTCTCACCAGCTCTGTCCCTAGACACGTGGGGATAATCGGGATTACAATTCAAGATAAGATTTGGGTGGAGCCACTGAGCCAAACCATGTCATATACTGTTAGTGGGAATGGAAATTAGTACAACCACTATGGAGAACAGTTTGGAGATTTCTCAGAAAACTAAAAATAGAGCTCCCATGTGATCCAATCCCACTGCTAGATTATACCCAAAAGAAAGGGAATCAGTATATCTAAAGGATATCTGCACTCCCATGTATATTGCAGCACTATTCACAATAGCCAAGATTTGGAAACAACCTAAGTGTCCATCAACAGATAAATGGAGAAAGAAAATGTGGTACCTATACACAATACAGTATTAGCCAGCTATAAAAAAAGAATGAGATCCTGTCATTTGCAATAACATGGATGGAACTGGAGGTCATTATGTTAAGTGAAATAAGCCATGCATAGAAAGAGATAAGTTTCACATGTTCTTACTTATTTGTGAGAGCCAAAAATTAAAACAATTGAATTCATAGAGGCAAAGAATAAAATGATGGTTACCAGAGACTAGGAAGGGTAGTGGCACGGTGAGGTGGAGTGTACGGGGTGAGTGGGGATGCTTAATAGGTACAAAAATAGTTGCAAAGAATGAATAAGATATATTATTTGATAGCACAACAGGGTGACTATGGTCAATAGTAATTTAACTGTACATTTTAAGATAACTAAAAGGGTAGAATTGGGTTGTTTTTAACACAATACAAGGATAAATGGTTGAGGTGATGGATACCACATTTACCCTGATGTGGTTATTACACTTTATATGCCTGTATAAAAATATCTCATATACCCCATAAACATATACACCTACTATGTACCCACAAAAATTAAAAATAAAAAAAAATGACTAGAGAACTTTTAATTATCTAAAAGTGAGTTTTAAAACTATGAGGCCAGTTAAAGATAGATTATTATCAAAGGAAAGAGAAACTTTTTTAATGACTACATGTTAAAAGGACAAAGGGAAATAAGTCTCAAATAAGTATTGTATATTATTGGGTACCAAAAGTTCACTTGTCTACTTTTCTAATTTTTGAATAGTTTTTCTGGGTAATAAGCCATTTTTCTATTTAAAAGTACAAGCATAAACAATAAGTACAGGAAACAATGCTTGTTTTCAAACCCTTTGCAACATAAACCAATAATTAATAGGCACAAAAATAGAATATACTTTTTTCAAATTTACAAATGCCTAGAACTAACTCTGAACAAGGACACAACCTGAATTAGATTCACTTGTGTGAAAAAATGCATTTTCAAGTTTACTATAATACTTTCTAATGCTGAGTATGAAGAAAATAATGAAAACATCTTTTTGAATCATAATTCAATTGAACTTGGCCCACATATGTTGCAGGCTCTTACATCCACTTATTATAAAGAATTTATGAAGGTCATGGTCCAAGACAACATACACTAGAATGTTCTTTAGGTGTATAACAGTATATAAAGCAAACATTTTTATTACAGACATTAGCTGCTGGGGTTATGGTGGTATGCTGGTACATTATGCTAAATTAATACATCTGCTCATATAATCTATCCAGCAGCAACCTCTCTTTTAAATAACAGAGAGCAAAAATTTTCTATAAATAGTTTTCTTCACATCAGTCTGAGACCAGGCCTATTTCATACAAGATAATAAGGTGATGTTAATCTTTTGATTTTTTTTCTCTCTCTAGCAGATTACATCCTATTTTAAATTAGACACAAACAAAATCTTACAGGAAACATAATTAGATGTGAAATTGCTTTAAAGCATCTTTGTCTCTGGAGGAAGCTTTTCACCCTCTGTGATGTGCTGGGATGTATCTAATCTAATGATCAGCTGCCACCAAGTAATTGAATATCCTAGAGCTTGAACTGCTAGGGAGCCTATGCATTTTACTCCTCTTATTTTTTTCCTCTAAATAGATAAAGGGGTAAAATGGACCTACATGACACTAAATTGCTACTTTTAGTGAGGAGTTGCTTAAATTTTTAGTGTTCATCCTCAAGGTTGAAATTTTTTAGCATACGAGAGGTAATACTTGAAAATAAGTTACTTATCAAAATGAATATATAGGGTTTTAAAGAAAATTTTAAAGTAGCTTTAAAAATTTGAACTTGACACCTTAAAATTTAGCTTGCTTCTTGATAATGAAATATAAATATTTAAAAAATAAAAACATATTATTGTCACTAAGATTAGAAAAATACTAAAACCCTCCCTTGTGAAAATTGAATTGGAGGAATTCATAAATAATGTAATTGAGGAGTTTCATCATCTCCTTTTTTAATGAGATGAATTCTTATTTTTGCTAAATGTTGACTTTCTAAACTAGAGTACAGTTGTCCGCCCTTATTAAAAGTTTCATTTTCTGCAATTTCAGTTACCCCCAGTCAACTGTGATCAGAAAATACGACACTATATTGCACCTTGGGCCATTACTAAGTAAATAAGAGCCATTTGAACACAAGCATTGCGATACTGTGACAGCAGAATAGCAATGGGGGGTGGGGAGGGGCACAGAACAGGACAGCATGAGATTGCGTCATGCTACTCAGAATGGTGTGGAATTTAAAACTTATGAGTTGTTTATTTCTGGAATTTTCTACTTATATCACAATGCCTACATCATTTACCTCATTTCATCTTATTACATGGGCATTTTATCTTCTCATGTCATCACAAGATGGGTGAATACAGTACAATAAGATATTTTGAGAGAGAGAGAGAGAGACCACATTTATATAACTTTTATTGTAGTATGCTGCTATAAAAATTATTCCATTTGATTATTACTTATCATTGCTAATCTCTTCCTGTGTGTCTTACTGATAAATTAATCTTGATGATTGGGATGGATGTGTAGGAAAAAACATAGTGTATAAGTAGGGTTTTTACTATCCACAATTTTAGACATCCACCAGGGGTCTTGGAATGTATCCTCTGAGAATAAGGGAGGATTACTGCAGTTTTCTAGCTCCATTACATAAAAAATAACTGTAAGAAAATAATGATTCAAATCACTTATTCTGAGCATGACACCGATGACCTTACTACAGCTGTGAGATTTTAAAAGAGTATAAAACCTATATATCACTTGAAAACAGACCCTTTCGTGACCTCAGATATCCTTTATCTTATCTAAACCTTCTGTGAAGATTGATAGCTCATATATAATATTCTCTTTCCTGGCAATTATCAGAGATGCAGTTTAAATTTCCCCCAAGAGAGTAACAATGCCATCTCCAAAAACAGCTTGGGAGAAATATGGCAGCAATGCCAGCTTTCTTATCTCTAGGACCATTTAAAGGCTAAATGAGAAAATTTGTGATTTAAAATAGCTTGTTTCTAAAACACAAACTCTCTGACAACAGCTAAACTTAATTAAGTTATGTTATAATCTTGGCACAATATGTGAAGAAAACCATTCCTAAGAAAGAACAATTAATATAATTCTCCACATATTTAATTTCAGATAATAACCAGGTGGTTCACAACTTCTTTGTAGAATTGATTTGTAGGAGATGCATTAAAACTATTCTGATCATTAAAATTCCACCAACATGTGATCTTGCCCAGCCTATTTATTTAATCATGCAAGTAAAGGAAAAGTTGTACAGGATTATCCTCAACAAGATCGTTAGCATAGAGGTGGCAAATCCTCATAGAAATGTCCATCTTCACAAAAGCAAAAACAACAACAACAACAACAACAACAAAAACCAGTGACTTGCTTGCCTGATAGGTTGTTCACTGTAATTCTTTTATCCCTCACGCGCACTCCCAGTATCATTTTTGGTGTCTTCCTTTGTCGCATTATTCTTACAGACTATTTTCCTTCTTCTCTCCCTAAAATCATTTATTTCTGAATTATAGGCAATGAATACTTGTAGTCATTCTGCATACAGATGACTCCTTCCATTCTTTGAAGATTTAAGTATTTTTCTTATTAGTTCTTCCAACACTACTCATTATAGTCTTAGTAATTTTGTTATCTACATTGTATATTATCCTCCTATTACCCATAACTCCCAGTTCTCTCCGCTCTGCTCACTTCCTCTTCCCATGATTTTGTTCTCAACTCTACTTTATCCTTTCACGTCTATGCTCATGCCCTGGATCTTGTTATTATAAATAAAAATAACCTCTTCATAATCTCAATTTCATGCATACTTCTCTCTAATGCTTACATCTGTCTTCAGCTCCCTCCCTTTAGTATTGCAACTCCATCAATTCTTCGTACTTACTAGTACCTAGAATCCATTAATCTAACTACAATTTACCATATCTCAACACACTCACATTATTATTTTCTTCTGCTCCAGCTTTGAGGCTATATTTTACCAATAAAATTATTCCCTTGCATACACTCTCAACTCTCTTGCTACTCCTTTATATTTTGTACTCACTTGGCAAAATCCCTTCCCTGGTTAAATTCAACTCTCTGCCTGCTCTGATACTATAGACATATAGCTAAATATGGCTACACAGAGAATAACACACATCCATGCTCTTGCATTTGAAATTATTGACTGCTAACATCGAATACACAAACTATAGATTTGCATGGCAATCAGAGTACATTTCCCACATCTGCTCATGTTCCTTATTCATGCTTGGTAATGCTGCTACTGTTTTACTAAGAAAAATCCATTAGAATAGAACACCTACAAGTTTCCACAATCACTGCCTATGTATATTCAATCATCTTTCCTTTTATAATGGATGAAACATCTATGTGTCTAGGTCAAACCATGTGCATTAAATCTCTCCCCTTCTTGAGTTTTAAAAAAGATGACCTTCGGCATTTCCTATCACTTCCATTAACTGGCACTCCAACTCAGGCCACAAGCATTTCTCACCAAAATTAATAAAGTGACCTTTGAATTTGTCCCTCTGCTCCCACACTTGTTCCTTACGATTTAAGTCAGATCATGTTATCCTTATTCCTCAAACCCTCCCATGGCCCACGGTGTAGGAGAACAGACAGATTCTTATGAGGGTATTCAGAGTTTACTTGATTTTGCCTTCCCTATTTTCTCTGACCATATCTCCCCAATATTTCCTCCCAGCACGCTGAACTCCTTGCTATTTCTTGAACACTCTGGACAAGTTTTGGCCTCGGGGTTTGGCACTTGCTCCTCATCTTGCCTTGAAATAATAATAAATTTGTCCAACTTTTGATCTTTGGTCAGTGTCCATTTATAATGGACATATAATAAGGAGGCTTTTTATCTTCTTATTTATTACTTCATTTTTCTCCATAGAATTTATCAGGAATTATCAACATTTGATATGTTATTTTATTATGCCCCTTTGTTTTCTTTATTTTCTGTCTCCATCCACTAGAATAAAAGTGTCAGTGGAAATACTTTTGCTGTTTATTTCACCAATGAATGCTTCTAAAATAATACCTGAGACGTAGTCAGCATTCAGTAAATATACATAGAATCAATGAATGAGTGACCTTCACTGAAAATCAAGGCTTGATTAAAATTTTCATAGCTCTCCAGCAACAAGAAAACTGTGACATATTTATATGCCACACATTTTCATTGTTCCTAAGGGCATATCTGAACACATTAAAATTTCCCTTAAAAACTACTTTTTTGGATTTTTATCTATAATGACATTCCAAACCAGATGTTTAATCAGAATATGATAATGACTTCAGTATTCCTGTCATAAGTTATTTTGAAGGAATACAAACTTGAAGGAATTACAGTTTTAATCAAAGATCACACTTAAAAAAAGTTTCCACTTATTTAAAAGTAAAATCTTGGCCCCTGAGTTTACTCCATCAATATTTCTATCTTTACATTTAACTGTATGCTATGTAGGACACAAGAAAGTGGGAATCTAGGATTAAGATGGAGTGACATTATCACTAAGTGTATGTTATATTTTGATTTATAAGAAATGTGCCTCCGTTTCATATCTCCTTTTGAAAAAGATCACTTTTTAAACAAATATCTATTTACATATTGTATACATACCCAAACTGGATTTGAACGTTTGGTTTATCAACAGTTAATGGCCTGGCTATCCTATCTTTTGGTTCAAGAATAGAACAGTTTTTATATTACTTGACAGTTCAATATTCTCAGGGTCTGGCTTCTTTTAAGTCTTCTTTCTTTTATAGTACAAATAATTCTCACTTCTACCAGGATATTTTCATCTCATACTCAGACTAACACATGTAACCTGGATTGACTTCTTTACCATGGATCATGAATGAAATTGTGTTTGCCTGCTATTGGTATACAATTACATACTAAAATCATTTGGAATAAGGTAATGAAATTCAACCTTCTTTCAATGTCAAGTGATTTGTATGTAGGCTCAGCAACAGGACACATCTTTTTTAAACTGAAAGATAATAAATAATAGATAAGCAAAATTATAATAAATAATTTTTTGCAAATATGTTCTCATGTTCTAAGCAAGATATGACATAATCAGATATGAATTTTTTTAAAACCAGACTGGGATGATTTAGTAAATGATGACTGTCTTACTCTGACCATAGTAACAAAGGGAAACAAAAAGAAGCAAAGTCCTTTATTTTAATTGGAAGTGGACATAATTGGTTGGAGAACAACAGTCATTTAAACATATTTCTGGTGTGTTTTTCTTTATTGCAGCGGCTTGAATTCTATATTTTCCAGGAAGTCTTGCAGCTATAGCTCTGAATGTAATTTTGGTTCTGCCAATCAGTCACACTCCCATGACATTTGCATAGTTAATGCAATATGGTGGCTTGCTTTTGCCGTTTCTTTTGTGCCTGGTACCAGAGACCATCATGAGGGTGTCTGGTTTTCTGTGGCAGCATTAGCAGAGATCTCAATGTATGGTTACCTGCTCCACGAGTATTAGTAAGAATTGTGTAGGGCATCCATTTATTCAGTTTATAAATATAGATAACTGGTGCTTCCTGGAAATAGAACAGAATAAGTGGAAAAATGCTTTAACGCAATCTTAGGAAAAAATAGTTCAAACATTTTATTTTTTAAAATTTTGTGGGTACATAGTATGTGAATTTCTCAATCTGTAGGTGGCAAGAGCTCATGGCATATTAGAAATCATTACTAAAAAGTTAGTAACATTTTAGTGGATACTTGATAGTTATCCTCTCTATACTCATTACTCCCTTTCCCCTTACTCCTGCTCTGTTTTCTGAGTCGTATAGTTTGAGTGAGATTGCCCCTATTCTCAGTTCATCCTCTAGTTCTAGTATAAACACGATGGTGCTTAGTTCTGGACCTCCTTTCTCTGCTTCTGAAAGTAATATAAAGAAACAAGGAGAATAGGGGAGAAGCACAAACTCCAAGGAAATATCCAATCTTCAAATTACTTCTAAGTATGGAGCAAGAGAAAAATCCACAAACTTCAAATTATTCTAGGTATGGCCTAGAGTCCTTGAAAGTAAAGAACTGTCAGGTTTTTTCTTTTCTTGTTGGCATGATTTTTATTCTATATTTTTCTGTTCTCATCTTGCTTGGGGTTTGTTGAGATTCTTGGATTAATATATTTATAGTTTTCACCTAAATGGAGGGTTTTCTACCTTTTTTTATATATTTTTTTCTTGCCTGTTCTACCCTTTTTACCCCTCTACTGCTCTAATTGAACATATAATCGATGGCTTAATATTATTTTACAGGTTTCTGAAGTCTCATTATTTTTTCCTTAATGTTTCTATCTGTTCTTCAAATTGTTTTCCATATACAAATATATATGTATGTATATGTATTGTTTTCCTTTTTTACAGATTACTTATTATATTTTAAATCATCGCTAATCTTCAGCGAAGCCCATAACACAAGTCTTTCATTTCAGTTATTATTTTCATCTCTAAAATTTTTATTCGGTACATTTTATAATCTGCTGAGTTTCTCTGTTTAATCATTAGGAGTGAACTTTTTAAATCATAAAATATATTTATGATAGCTACTTGAAAGTCTGTGCCCAATAATTACAACATTTAGTACATCTCAGTTCTATTTCTTGCCATTTTTCTTGAATATGGGTTTTATTTTTCTGTTTCTTTCCATATTTAATGATATTTGAGAGTTTACCAAGCTTCATCAATGTTATTTTGTGCAAGCTCAGGATTATGTTATATTCCTGTGAAGAGGTTTGTTTTAGCACAGTAAATTTGACTAAACACAGATTCCAAACTGCCTCCTTGGCTGTGGCAACAGCTGAAATCTTTATTTATTTCAACTTAATTCACTGCCTCTAAAGTCCCTTTCAATTTGGTATATTCCCTCTACATTTCTGACTATTCTTCAAGCCCCCAAAACTCTCCTCTGTCACCTAAGACACTAATACTGTAACTTCTGTACTGGGCTGCATGAGAATTTTGAACAGTCCTTGGGCAAAAGAAATAAATTAGAAATCTCACCTTTCAAAGATAGACAGTTTCTGTCCGTGATCTTTTTAAAATTACCTTCAGATGTATTTTAATAGTTTATATGGCTTCTATAATTGTTATCTGTAAGAAGCGTTATCCCTGCTTCCCAATAGCTAATCTGTCATTACAGGAAGCCAAAATCTGAGCAATAATATTTTTAAGACAAAGGAAAATTATCTCCTAATGAAAATCTTTTTAAAATTCCTGATATATACACACAAAAATTATAACAAAATATTTCAGAACTAAGAGCAAGTATGTCTGTCACATCACTACATATAAATAAGCTTATTTCCTTTATAAAATAAAAATTTTAAGACAGTATAATAAACCAAAACCCAATCAGATGCTATATTTATGAGACATAGGTAAAATAAAGATTTCAAACGACTAAAATGAAATGCGCAAGTGAAAAATTTTACTAGGCAAATGCAAACAAAAGATATCAAAGGTCTATGATTTTAATATTACATAAGGTAGAATTCATACCAACAACATTAAATGAGGTGAAGAGCCCATATTTTAGTGCAAACCATATCCTACAGCATATGAAAAAGATTATATATCATGATCAAGTGGGATGTATCCAAGAGATGCGAGTAGTGGTCAACATACACAAATCAATAAGTGATACATGATATCAGCAGAATGAAGGGCAAGTTCCATATGATCATCTCAATAGATAAAATGCAGAACAGCATTTGATAAAATCCAACATTCATCATGATAAAAATTCTCAACAAATTAGGTATAGAAGGAATATACCTATATACAGTGTTCATGAATTAGAAGAATTTATATAGTCCATACTACCCCAAACAATCTAAAGATTCAATGCAATCCTTATCAAAATACCAATGGCATTCTTCACAAAAATGGAAAAAAGAAGTTTCAAATTTGTATGGAACTACAAAAGACCCCAAATAGCAAAAGCAATCTGAAGCAAAAGAACAAAACTGTATGCCTCACACTACCTGATTTCAAAATATACTATCAAGATTTAACCAAAGTAACATGGTAACTGGTATGAAAATAGACACATAGACCAATGAAACTGAATAGGGAACCTAGAAACAAATCTATGTTTTTGCAGCCAACTAATTTTCAACAAATGTGCCAAGAACATACATCAGGAAAAGGAAAGTGTTTTCAATAAATGATGCTGGTAAAATGAGATATCTGTATGCATAATCAGGATAAAAGCTTAACTGTAAGACCCCAAACTATAAAACTTCTAGTAGAAAACATAAAGGAAATGCTTTAAGACATTAGTCTGGGTAAAGATTTTATGATTAAGACTTTAAAAACACAGGCAATCGAAATAAAAGTAGACAGATGAAATTGTATCAAATTAAAAAGCTTCTGAACATCAAATGAAACAACCAACAGAATGAATAAACAACTTGCAGAATGAGATAAAATAATTGCAAGCTATTCATTCTACAAGGGTTTAGTATTCAGAATATACAAGGAACTCAAACAACTCAACAGGAAAACAAACAAAAAAACCCCAATTAATAAATGGGAAAATGTTCTGAATAGACACGTCTCAAAAGAAGACATACAAATGGCCAACACATGCATAAAAATATGATCAACATCACTAATCATCATGGAAATCCAGATCAAAAAGACAGCAAGATATTCTCTCATTCCAGTTAGAATGACTTTTATCAAAAAGACATAAAAAATAAAAAATGTTGGGAGGATGTGAAGAACAGGAAATTCTTATGGACTGTTGTTAGGAATTTACATTAGTTCAGCCATTATGGAAAACAATATGGAGGTTCCTCAAAAAACAAAAATAGAACTACTATATGATTCAGCAACTTCACTACTGGGTATATATTGAAAAGAACGGAAATCAGTATCTCAAAGAAATATCTGCACTCTCATGTTTATTACAGCACTACTCACAAGAGTCAAAATGTGGAATCTAAGTATCCATCAATGAATGAATGAATGAAGGAAATGTGGCATATATACACAATGGAATATTATTCAGCCATAAAAAAGAATAAAATCCAGTTGTTTGTGGAAATACAGATGAATCTGAAGACTATTCTGTTAAGTGAAATGAGCCAGGCATGGAAATACAAATACCAAATGTTCTCATTCACATGTAGATGTTAAAACTGTGGATCTCATAGAAGTAGAAAGTAAAAAAATAATTATTTGAGGCAGAGAAGAATGTGGAAGAGGAGAAGATAGGGAGATTCTGGTTCACAAACACAAAAATCACAGCTAGAGAGGAGGACTAATTTCTAATGTCCTATAGCACCAAAGTATGACTATAATTAATGATAACTTATTGTATATTTTCAAAAAGCTAGAAGACAGGACTTTGAGTGTTCCCAACACAAAGAAATAATAAATGCTTGAGGTGGTGGATGGGCTAATTTCACTGATTATTACACATGGCATATGTGTATTGAAATATCACACTGTACTCCACAAATATATATAATTTTATGTAAATTAAAATTTTAAATCATATGTTATGTCAGCTTCAAGCATCTAAAAATTTAAGCATTCAGAAATCAAAGAGGTAACTTTCTCTTGTATGTTAAAAAACTAAAATCATGAAAATAAAAATTAAAGTTGCTGAATTTTATAAAAGTAGCAGTTAAAAATTACATTTAAACTTTGGGTAGAGCAGAACTAGGTTCAGAAGAAAATACATATTTTACTTAAGTCATCATATGAATGAAAAAGCACAAAAGATGAATTAAACATCATCTGACTCAGAGTTAAAAAAAGATAGATGAATCATAGAATAATTTGATTAGTAAAGGAAAAGCATATATCTGAATTAGAAAAAAATCTTTCAGAAATAATAGATTAACAAATTGTTTTTTAGGAATAAAAAAAGCAATAAAAAAGACAAGCTAGGCATGTAAAATGGACAAGAACAACTATTCAAAATAATAAATGAAAATAGAGTAATAACAGAAACAAAAAGTTTAATCAAGAAAGAAAATTTAGCCTAAATGGAACAATATCAACAAAAAAAGTAGTAATAACTACAGAAAAAACACAATGTTAGGCAGGCTTATCACAAAAAAATGCAAATTGCAAAGATCAGAAATTAAGAGAGAGTATTACTATAGAACTACAGACATTAAAAAGATAATAGGAAAATTTATAAACAACTTGATGTCATATACTTAATCATTTCATTGAAATTGAGAAATTTCTTAAAAGTCACAAATTACCAAAGCTCAATCAAGAGTAAATAGCAATCTGATTATTTCCATATTTGCAAATTATGAAAGCTCAAGCAAGAATAAACAGAAACTTGACTAGATCCATATGTATTAAAGAAATTGAACATGCCAGTTTAAACCTTCCAACAAAGACAATTCCAGGGCCAAATTTCTTCACCATGGAATGTTAGCCATCACTGAAGGAAGAAACCCTACCAAGTCTAAGCAAACTCTTCTAGAAAACAGAGAAGGAAAAAATACTCCCCAGTTAATTGTATGGGGCCAGCATTACCCTGTTCCTTGCTTAATTACGCTATTTTACAATTTTCTGGTTATGAGTTGAACAATCAATGTTTTCTTGCAGTTTTCTACATGATGTTAATGTGCTACCAGATTGGGAACCAATGGCGTGGAACAGACAGGCCTATATCAGGATGTAACATAGTATGGCTTTCATGGACAGAATCTTGTAATATGTATTAAAAGAAAAACAGTTCTTATTTCTCAACCCAATTTTAGGAATTTAACAAAAGAAATTGAAAAAAAAAACACAAAACATTGAAATGTAAGTAAAGAGGATTCCTCATATTCTTTATAATCATAGCAATTTGATAAAAACCAAAGTTTTCTTCAATTTTACATTGTTCCAGTAACTTATGGTATATTCAGGGAGTTAAGTACTCATTATCCTTTAAAATGATTATTTGAATTCTTATGTAGTAATAAGGAAATGTTTTTATAACATACTTCTTAATTAAAAAAACAAGTGACTGACCAGAACAGAAAATTGGATTTTATATTTTAGAAAGTGGTGGGGACATAATTGATTTATGTTGATTTAAATTTAACTGAATAATTTTTAATTTTCTGTATTGAATATCTTTTTCATAAAATAATCATGTGTTTCATGCCATTAAACTAATTACATAAAATCAAGAAGGATCATAACGGCTACAGTGTGTGGAAACCAACTATCATGAAATTTAGGTGATCTAGGCAAGGGCTGTGGATAGCAGTGTGGTAGAGAGAAATGACAATATTCAAAAGACATTAAGAAGGTATACTAAAAGAGATCTGACTATCTCAGATAGAATATAGATTATCTCAGATAGAATATAGATTAAATTTTATTATCTCTTAGATTGTCTTTAAGAGCCAAAGAGGTATAAATATATTTGCCTCATCTAATTCCAGACACTTAAAAAGGAGACACAGAAATTATCATTTTCTAACAATTAAAACCTAAGAAGTTAAAGGTGTATTATGTCTGAATTATTTGTGTCAGTTTTTTAATTAAAAAGAAATTAAATTCTACATTTAGGATTCATTTTATTAATTCAGTCTCATTCAATTCACAACTTTTAGATATTTTATACTTCACACAATTTAAGGGAGACAAAAGTAAACACGATATAATCTCTATGTTTGAGCCAAATTCTTCAGTAGAGCAATAAAGTCAGATCATTTTGGCATCAAAAGATCTGACTTTTTAATTGGAAGGGAAATTTTAATGCAACAATTGAGATAATTAATCAGCCCTGCTGTTTTTCTCTCCAAAAGTCTAAACCAGCGTGTTGTAGCATAAAAGAGCAGTGTTGTGGGTCCTCAAATATTCAAATTGGCAGCTGCATTGCCATAGGAAAGCAAAGCTTATAATAGAAATATTCATGTTTCCAGGTTATTTTAAGTTAAGTACATTGTTAGACCTCCAGGTGAGTTCATAGGAAACCAGGGGTGGATAGGGTCTCATTATTATGACTTTGGTAAATGAGCCAGAGACTCAATTAAGAGCTGCTTTTTCATCCACTGATATACACTGTGTGTATATAGCATTCTCCGGCATCAGCTATTCAGTCTTATCCCTCTACTTTTTCTTCAAATGTAAACTATTCCAGTATGCTAATGTTTGAGAGAATATTATATATTTTGAATACGTTGAAATTCAAATATAGAACTCAAATGTGATATAATCAAAATATAGAGTTCAGTATGCATAGCAATATCTTGAAATATGAAGTTGGAAATGATTTAAGCTTCTTTTGAGTATGTGTATATATGTTTTAAGTCCATAAATATTGGGAATCAAGTTGCAGAGAAATCTCTTTCTAACTTAAGAAGAGTATCAATTCAATAAAGTTGTATTATTTTACCTAATCATTCTGAATATTTCTGGAAAATTGTTTTTAGAAGATGTTGCTTCTACATTGCCTTCTAAAGTCATAACTAACACAATTTTAGTTCCATTTCAACACTGATAAACTATAAGTTTGTTTGTTTTTTTCCCAACTGACATGATTTTGTATTAATTGTAATTTTCAGCTGAGTTTCAATAAACAGTGGTATTACTGCAAAAGGAAATAAAACCTGGGAAGGAATTATTGCTATTGCCTTTAATTTTCATATATAAATAATTTAGTTGTTTGAACAGATTTTGCTTAAAAGTGTGCACATATGTGTTAGATGAAATATTGAGAAGGAACTTGAGTAAACATAATACGTGTTTGAGAAGCCTCAATTGTGGTTAGTAGCCTATAGATAATAAAAAATATGGAATGAAAACATATTATGAACAATGTAAGAAGTCATACTTCTATTCCTGTTTTTGAATGATTCATTTTTTAATGAATGTCATAGATGTAGACATTGACAAGTATGTAGATTATATCATGTCACACAAAGAAATTTCAAAGCTTCACTAAGTTCATTGTCAGGAGGTGCTTTAAATTCTTGTCTGAATCTAATTTATAGATGCATCCTTGTGGATTTCACTCCACTAGAAAAGGTCACTCATGCAAATGAGACCAGAAAATATATAAACTCAGATTCTATGAAAGGTTGAAGAGATTTATAAATTTTAATTCACTCTTATGTGTTCTATTTCTGTCAGCAGCTAGAAATATTTTAAAGATAAATAAAATAATCCCTTAAATTCTAAACTCTACCAGGTATCCTATGTAACAAATCAACTTCAAATTTTAATCTTTTGTCTTTTACATAGACGGAAATCAGAATTTATTGACCTGCTAGTCTTTTTCAAAGGGAAGAATGACTGTATCATGTTTTCTTTCTTTCTTTACATAGTTAAATACAATAACTTTTCTATAGAAGCATATCAACTTTAAAAAGTAAAGATAATACATTAAAATATTTTTCTAGGTAAATGACAAGATTAAAGTCACCTAAGGTTAGTACATATTTTAGGCATCAAATTCATTCTCATTGTAATCCTGGTTAACAAATCCAATGAACTCAAATACTTCATTCCATTGACAACATATACGTTGATTAGAATGAGGGTGAAAACATTTCACTTACTGTTCAAAGACTTATTTGTTGTGTAATATGGTAGTATAGATAATTAATCCACAGAATCTCAAAATATATATTAGAATATTAGAGACACAATCCCATCATTTTTAAAAAGACAAATGCAAGAGAGACTGAGGGATCCATCAGAACCAATACCATGTACCACATTCATCAACCCAGTGTTTCCAAAGTAACCCATTATCATCTGGATCCAAAAAAATCACAGTGTGCTCTTCACACAGTAAAATTTTAATCAGGCTGGTATTCATATATTTTTAATAAAACTGAGACCATCTAAGATTTACTTTTCTTATATTGTATACATTTACTGCCACAGGAATGCAAGTTTTATTTTACAAAACTGGATACAATTTCATTAAAATTTTGGTTTAAAAAAAGATATGCATTCTTGTTGAAATTTCTTTATATAATTCCTCTTTTGAGCTCCAAACATCAAACAGAATATGAGTCACCGTTTGAACTTGGACCAGTCACACATTCAGTCTGTGTATTGTATTTTCATCTGACATACACAACTTATTAATGTACACAGAAGCATTTTGGCCTTCATTAAAAGCTTGAGTGTGCTTTAGGAAATATGTCCCAGGATATGGATGAAGTGTCATCATTCAAACAGCAGTAAATGTATTCACTCAACAAGTATTTATTGCTGTGAGTCCTACTTTAGGTCTCCATTTTTCCCCATTCTTAAAGCAGAATGTATTAGATTGATTCAGGGAAAAATGAAACAAAGCACTCATTGATATGTATAGTGTCTACTTAATTGTGAAGCACTAGTGACTTTGTAAACTTTTCTGTGGATTTACCTATGAGTACCCATTGGTTTTTGTTTGTTTAATTGTCAAGTTGGGCAGACAAATTTTTAAAAATTGGCCTTATGTAAGGACTTGCAACAGATTTAGCCTTCCCAAAAGGAAAAAGGGAATAAGGCTCAAGGTGGAAGTGTCCAAATCAGATGAAGAAAGTAAGAGGAGAAACCTCCTGACATCCAAGGCTAATATGGGGCTGATGTTGGCCGTGTGAAAGAGGGCTTGGGAGTAGCAAATAGCCTTCAAAGAGAAATGCTTCCCAACCTTTTTATAGCTAGGCTGTAACAGCACAAGGTACTATTTGTGAGGCAGAGAGAAATAAATGGATATGACTTTACTTTAGGAGTTAGCAGTCCATGGTTCCCTGCTCTCCCAGACCCTTTCCTGGTTTCTTATACCAATAATTATTCTAATACTTGTAAATTCATACCTAATTCCTTTACAAGTATTAGTCCAATACTTGTAAATACTTGGAAGTATCCTTTTAAAAAATATATGTATACCTACATATACACACACACACACACACATAAATTTTGAAACGTTAAAACTCATTGCAGTGTCTCCAAACTGATTTTCACAATCATGAATGGATTGCACGATTTAAAAGCTTTAAGAGTGATGCCCGCTGTATGTTAAGTAGTCTAAAATAATTTATGCATTTTTCCTGCATAATCAACAAAAAGTCTTTTTAAAACCATGTGTGCGTTGGTCTGTGTCTACATCCCATGTGTGTGCATTTTCACTAAGTGGGACCAAATAAGAATCAGATAAAATATATGTTTTATAGAGAGTACTATTTACAAAACAGACTTATAGTGCTGAAATTTATGTAAATTAGATCCCAAATGAATGAGTGAAGTTTAGAATACTTCTCAATTTTAAAGCCATTGAGTATTCATATAGAAAACAATGAATCTATCAAGCCTACTTTATCCTTATGTCAATCAGGGCATATTTTTCCATAGTTCAAATTTCTATGGCTTTAAAAATGGAGGAATTAGATGTGATGCTTTCTGAAGCTCATACTCATATTAAGCTCTTTCTTCTTAGGAAATAAACTTTTTAAAGAAAAATAATATTTGCATTCATATGAAGCCACCAGAATTCTTAAGTTTCATACATTTTTCTACTAAACTTATTGTCTGCTCTCTAACCTTCCTAAAATTATATTTAACAAAACTGCAATATCACAGGGGTATACTTTTCAGTGGCCAATATTTAGAAGTAGACATAAACTTTGAAAATATGTATGTATGTCTATGTATATATCTATATAATTTTTTATCAATTTTTGAGAAGACTAAGTCTCATTATATTATTTTCATTTGAATCATCAGTGACTTTTAAAATACCTGACATAGGGGAGGAGTCAAGATGGCCGAAAAGGAACGGCTGCGGTCTACAGCTCCCAGCTTGAGCGACACAGAAGACGGTGATTTCTGCATTTCCATCTGAGGTACCGGGTTCATCTCACTAGGGAGTGCCAGACAGTGGGCGCAGGCCAGTGGGTGCGCGCACCGTGCGCGAGCCAAAGCAGGGCGAGGCATTGCCTCACTTGGGAAGCGCAAGGCGTCAGGGAGTTCCCTTTCCGAGTCAAAGAAAGGGGTGACGGGCGGCACCTGGAAAATTGGGTCACTCCCACCCGAATACTGCGCTTTTCCGACGGGCTTAAAAAACGGCGCACCACGAGATTATATCCGGCACCTGGCTCGGAGGGTCCTACGCCCACGGAGTCTCACTGATTGCTAGCACAGCAGTCTGAGATCAAACTGCAAGGCGGCAGCGAGGCTGGGGGAGGGGCGCCCGCCATTGCCCAGGCTTGATTAGGTAAACAAAGCAGCCGGGAAGCTCTAACTGGGCGGAGCCCACCACAGCTCAAGGAGGCCTGCCTGCCTCTGTAGGCTCCACCTCTGGGGGCAGGGCACAGACAAACAAAAAGACAGCAGTAACCTCTGCAGACTTAAATGTCCCTGTCTGACAGCTTTGAAGAGAGCAGTGGTTCTCCCAGCACGCAGCTGGAGATCTGAGAACAGGCAGACTGCCTCCTCAAGTGGGTCCCTGACGCCTGACCCCTGAGCAGCCTAATTGGGAGGCACCCCCCAGCAGGGGCACACTGACACCTCACACGGCAGGGTATTCCAACAGACCTGCAGCTGAGGGTCCTGTCTGTTAGAAGGAAAACTAACAAACAGAAAGGACATCCACACCAAAAACCCATCTGTACATCACCATCATCAAAGACCAAAAGTAGATAAAACCACAAAGATGGGGAAAAAACAGAACAGAAAAACTGGAAACTCTAAAAAGCAGAGCGCCTCTCCTCCTCCAAAGGAATGCAGTTCCTCACCAGCAACAGAACAAAGCTGGATGGAGAATGACTTTGACGAGCTGAGAGAAGAAGGCTTCAGACGATCAAATTACTCTGAGCTACGGGAGGACATTCAAACCAAAGGCAAAGAAGTTGAAAACTTTGAAAAAAATTTAGAAGAATGTATAACTAGAATGACCAATACAGAGAAGTGCTTAAAGGAGCTGATGGAGCTGAAAACCAAGGCTCGAGAACTACGTGAAGAATGCAGAAGCCTCAGGAGCTGATGCGATCAACTGGAAGAAAGGGTATCAGCGATGGAAGATGAAATGAGTGAAATGAAGTGAGAAGGGAAGTTTAGAGAAAAAAGAATAAAAAGAAATGAGGAAAGCCTCCAAGAAATATGGGACTATGTGAAAAGACCAAATCTTCGTCTGATTGGTGTACCTGAAAGTGATGGGGAGAATGGAACCAAGTTGGAAAACACTCTGCAGGATATTATCCAGGAGAACTTCCCCAATCTAGCAAGGCAGGCCAACATTCGGATTCAGGAAATACAGAGAACGCCTCAAAGATACTCCTCGAGAAGAGCAACTCCAAGACACATAATTGTCAGATTCACCAAAGTTGAAATGAAGGAAAAAATGTTAAGGGCAGCCAGAGAGAAAGGTCGGGTTACCCTCAAAGGGAAGCCCATCAGACTAACAGCGGATCTCTCAGCAGAAACTCTACAAGACAGAAGAGAGTGGGGGCCAATATACAACATTCTTAAAGACAAAAATTTTCAACCCAGAATTTCATATCCAGCCAAAATAAGCTTCATAAGCGAAGGAGAAATAAAATACTTTACAGACAAGCAAATGCTAAGAGATTTTGTCACCACCAGGCCTGCCCTAAAAGAGCTCCTGAAGGAAGTGCTAAACATGGAAAGGAACAACTGGTACCAGCTGCTGCAAAATCATGCCAAAATGTAAAGACCATCAAGACTAGGAAGACACTGCATCAACTAACCAGCAAAAGAACCAGCTAACATCATAATGACAGGATCAAATTCACAGATAACAATATTAACTTTAAATGTAAATGGACTAAATGCTCCAATTAAAAGACAAAGACTGGCAAATTGGATAAAGACTCAAGACCCATCAGTGTGCTGTATTCAGGAAACCCATCTCACGTGCAGAGACACACATAGGCTCAAAATAAAAGGATGGAGGAAGATCTACCAAGCAAATGGAAAACAAAAAAAGGCAGGGGTTGCAATACTAGTCTCTGATAAAACAGACTTTAAACCAACAAAGATCAAAAGAGACAAAGAAGGTCATTACATAATGGTAAAGGGATCAATTCAACAAGAAGAGCTAACTATCCTAAATATATATGCACCCAATACAGGAGCACCAAGATTCATAAAGCAAGTCCTGAGTGACCTACAAAGAGACTTAGACTCCCACACATTAATAATGGGAGACTTTAACACCCCACTGTCAACATTAGACAGATCAACGAGACAGAAAGTCAACAAGGATACCCAGGAATTGAACTCAGCTCTGCACCAAGTGGACCTAATAGACATCTACAGAACTCTCCACCCCAAATCAACAGAATATACATTTTTTTCAGCACCACACCACACCTATTCCAAAATTGACCACATACTTGGAAGTAAAGCTCTCCTCAGCAAATGTAAAAGAACAGAAATTATAACAAACTATCTCTCAGACCACAGTGCAATCAAACTAGAACTCAGGATTAAGAATCTCACTCAAAACCGCTCAACTACATGGAAACTGAACAACCTGCTCCTGAATGACTACAGGGTACATAACGAAATGAAGGCAGAAATAAAGATGTTCTTTGAAACCAACGAGAACAAAGACACAACATACCAGAATCTCTGGGACACATTCAAAGCAGTGTGTAGAGGGAAATTTATAGCACTAAATGCCCACAAGAGAAAGCAGGAAAGATCCAAAATTGAGACTCTAACATCACAATTAAAAGAACTAGAAAAGCAAGAGCAAACACATTCAAAAGCTAGCAGAAGGCAAGAAATAACTAAAATCAGAGCAGAACTGAAGGAAATAGAGAAACAAAAAACCCTTCAAAAAAGTAATGAATCCAGGAGCTGGTTTTTTGAAAGGATCAACAAAATTGATAGACTGCTAGCAAGACTAATAAAGAAAAAAAGAGAGAAGAATCTAATAGATGCAATAAAAAATGATAAAGGGGATATCACCACCAATCCCACAGAAATACAAACTACCATCAGAGAATACTACAAACACCTCTACGCAAATAAACTAGAAAATCTAGAAGAAATGGATAAATTCCTCAACACATACACTCTCCCAAGACTAAACCAGGAAGAAGTTGAATCTCTGAATAGACCAATAACAGGAGCTGAAATTGTGGCAATAATCAATAGCTTACCAACCAAAAAGAGTCCAGGACCAGATGGATTCGCAGCCGAATTCTACCAGAGGTACAAGGAGGAACTGGTACCATTCCTTCTGAAACTATTCCAATCAATAGAAAAAGAGGGAATCCTCCCTAACTCATTTTATGAGGCCAGCATCATTCTGATACCAAAGCCAGGCAGAGACACAACAAAAATAGAGAATTTTAGACCAATATCCTTGATGAACATTGATGCAAAAATCCTCAATAAAATACTGGCAAAACGAATCCAGCAGCACATCAAAAAGCTTATCCACCATGATCAAGTGGGCTTCATCCCTGGGATGCAAGGCTGGTTCAATATACGCAAATCAATAAATGTAATCCAGCATATAAACAGAGCCAAAGACAAAAACCACATGATTATCTCAATAGATGCAGAAAAACCTTTGACAAAATTCAACAACCCTTCATGCTAAAAACTCTCAATAAATTAGGTATTGATGGGACGTATTTCAAAATAATAAGAGCTATCTATGACAAACCCACAGCCAATATCATACTGAATGGGCAAAAACTGGAAGCATTCCCTTTGAAAACTGGCACAAGACAGGGATGCCCTCTCTCACCACTCCTATTCAACATAGTGTTGGAAGTTCTGGCCAGGGCAATTAGGTAGGAGAAGGAAATAAAGGGTATTCAATTAGGAAAAGAGGAAGTCAAATTGTCCCTGTTTGCAGACGACATGATTGTATATCTAGAAAACCCCATTGTCTCAGCCCAAAATCTCCTTAAGCTGATAAGCAACTTCAGCAAAGTCTCAGGATACAAAATCAATGTACAAAAATCACAAGCATTCTTATACACCAGCAACAGACAAACAGAGAGCCAAATCTTGAGTGAACTCCCATTCACAATTGCTTCAAAGAGAATAAAATACCTAGGAATCCAACTTACAAGGGATGTGAAGGACCTCTTCAAGGAGAACTACAAACCACTGCTCAACGAAATAAAAGAGGATACAAACAAATGGAAGAACATTCCATGCTCATGGGTAGGAAGAATCAATATCGTGAAAATGGCCATACTGCCCAAGGTAGTTTACAGATTCAATGCCATCCCCATCAAGCTACCAATGCCTTTCTTCACAGAATTGGAAAAAACTACTTTCAAGTTCATATGGAACCAAAAAAGAGCCCACATCGCCAAGTCAATCCTAAGCCAAAAGAACAAAGCTGGAGGCATCACACTACCTGACTTCAAACTATGCTACAAGGCTACAGTAACCAAAACAGCATGGTACTGGTACCAAAACAGAGATATAGATCAATGGAACAGAACAGAGCCCTCAGAAATAACGCCGCATATCTACAACTATCTGATCTTTGATAAACCTGAGAAAAACAAGCAATGGGGAAAGGATTCCCTATTTAATAAATGGTGCTGGGAAAACTGGCTAGCCATATGTAGAAAGCTGAAACTGGATCCCTTCCTTACACCTTATACAAAAATTAATTCAAAATGGATTAAAGACTTAAACGTTAGACCTAAAACCATAAAAACCCTAGAAGAAAACCTAGGCATTACCATTCAGGACATAGGCATGGGCAAGGACTTCATGTCTAAAACACCAAAAGCAATGACAACAAAAGACAAAATTGACAAATGGGATCTAATGAAACTAAAGAGCTTCTGCATAGCAAAAGAAACTACCATCAGAGTGAACAGGCAACCTACAAAATGGGAGACAATTTTCGCAACCTACTCATCTGACAAAGGGCTAATATCCAGAATCTACAATGAACTCAAACAAATTTACAAGAAAAAAACAAACAACCCCATCAAAAAGTGGGCAAAGGACATGAACAGACACTTCTCAAAAGAAGACATTTATGCAGCCAAAAGACACATGAAAAAATGCTCATCATCACTGGCCATCAGAGAAATGCAAATCAAAACCACAATGAGATACCATCTCACACCAGTTAGAATGGCAATCATTAAAAAGTCAGGAAACAACAGGTGCTGGAGAGGATGTGGAGAAATAGGAACACGTTTACACTGTTGGTGGGACTGTAAACTAGTTCAACCATTGTGGAAGTCAGTGTGGCGATTCCTCAGGGATCTAGAACTGGAAATACCATTTGACCCAGCCATCCCATTACTGGGTATATACCCAAATGACTATAAATCATGCTGCTATAAAGACACATGCACACGTATGTTTATTGCGGCATTATTCACAATAGCAAAGACTTGTAGCCAACCCAAATGTCCAACAATGATAGACTAGATTAAGAAAATGTGGCACATATACACCATGGAATACTATGCAGCCATAAAAAAGGATGAGTTCATGTCCTTTGTAGGGACATGGATGAAATTGGAAAACATCATTCTCAGTAAACTATTGCAAGAACAAAAAACCAAACACCGCATATTCTCACTCATAGGTGGGAATTGAACAATGAGATCACATGGACACAGGAAGGGGAATATCACACTCTGGGGACTGTTGTGGGGTGGCGGGATGGGGGAGGGATAGCATTGGGAGATATACCTAATGCTAGATGACGAGTTAGTGGGTGCAGTGCACCAGCATGGCACATGTATACATATGTAACTAACCTGCACAATGGGCACATGTACCCTAAAACTTAAAGTATAATAAAAAAAAATACCTGACATAAAGAAAGTACTATGCCATCACCTTTCAATTTTAATTATTTAACTCTGGCAGAGTGTCAATGAAGAGATATTTTTTCTTGTGCCCCTTCTTTCCAACCTCTCAACTTTAAGAGTAAGTCCCTGACTATAGGAAGGAGCTTAAGCACTTGTTAACTGGCACAAAGTGTAGTATTTAATGTAAGATTTGACATTCTTTGAGAAATTCTGTCAGAAATTATGAAAAAGAAATTGAATACCAAGTCCTCTTGTATTTCAGGCATTGACCGCAGGACCACTGATCTGGAAAATTAGCATCTGGCCAAGGATGATAAGGCCTACAATAACATAAGGAGTAGTTGGAAAATAGAATTCAAGAAATTCAAACAATTTTTTCCAATATGCATATCAGGACTGCATGCTAAATTTGCAAATGATATACCTGTATATACAGTCAAATATTTTCAGTTAGATTGTGCTTCAAAGCATTTCTATCTAGATAAACCAACGTCTAGATTTAGAAGAGTGAATAGATGGCAGGAGAGATGCAGAGATCAGCTTAACAAAAGGAGAATCAGAATTCCTCTTCACTTCTATTAGATTTTTAAAATAAAATTTAATAACACCTTTTTATTAAAATGGCAACAGAGTATTTTTATTCTATCCTAAATTGTCTGTATTTGTGGAAAGGAAGATAAATTTGGTTAATGTTCCTAATAGCCAAAGATTTTCTAGATATGATTGAAAAGGGCTGGAGCATTTAGATTGAGTTATTAGAGTTCAGTTGGAAGGTGATGCATTCTTAAGAGTTGATTAGACAGAATAAATTTATGTTTAGGTGTTACTAGAATCTGTCATGATTAGTCATGGTACTGAAATGTCTTCCATTCACTAACAAGCAGAGAAATTCCATTTAGTTCTATCTAGGTCTGAATCTTGATATGCCACTACTAAAACATAATTCACGAAATTTGTTTTCTACAGGGACCTGGCAATGTTAACTCCTAAATATGCATTTGCAATTAATTTAGGATGATGAGGCCAATCATTGGGATATGGAGGTCATGATTATTGTTATAGACTGAATAGCAAAACTGTAAAATGTGTGGCTACTAAGTATTCCACAATATTTCTCCTATGGGCAGCACAGACAGTGAAGGCCAGGATCATTTTCCTTGTCAATTACAAACTGTGGCTGTGACCATGAATTGATATTTCATTCTTCATCAGATTCAACTGTAGTTAAGTAAATTCACTAAGTATTTTATTTTCTTATCTCATTATTAGCTTTTCATGCCTGAAACCAAACACTGAATGCTTTTATTTACAGATGCACATACAATTTGTAAATCATGTGGTATTCACGTAGCCAGTCTAGCCCTGCCATACTAGTTGATAAAAGTTCAGATTAGAAGAAAAGGCTAGTTTAGTAATTCAGAGACTTGGACTCTAATCTCTGTTTGGTCCCCCCTGTCAAGTTGCATAACTTTGAACATGCTCCTACTTCTCTCAGGTCAAGTTAACTCATCGATAAAACAAAGAAGTTAATGTAGATTTCTCAGGTTCTCCTTAAGTAACACTATTTCTTCACTTCAAGACTCTCTCTGACCTGACTCGTATTTTGTGTTTGTCCAGGTAGTGACAAAGATAAAGAATTGGAGAAAGGGAAAAGCAGTCCAGGATCTTCAGGTGAGTAAGCTCTGGATGAGGACCAGCAGCTGGTTTGAAGCTCAAGCTTTGGCTATAGAAGTGACATTATCTTCACTATCTCAGAATCTAATCCACAATAACTTGTTCAAGCAGAAGAGAACTATTAAAAAGAAAAAAAAAAGCAGGTCTGGGCACATGGTAAGTAAAGGACACTGCAAGCACTCAGGGAATATTTGGCCAGCTCACATTTGCAAGGTGCACATGTGCCTGAGGATTGGGGAACAAATCCTGAATGGTTTTCTTCATCTTCTATTTGATGTGCCTTAGTGACCAAAAGACTTTTCATTTGGAGCAGTTATCCTGAAAATCAGTGCAACATGAAACATTAAGCTAGTCTCTCATTCTATCTGTCTGATCTCATTGCTACATTACTACAAAAGCCCTGCTTCAACCAGAAAAAAACAGATACTTATCTCCCCATCCACCCTAGACCTTTTTTCTTATAGTTTGTCATAAGCAAGTTTTGTTATCTCCAGCAAGCTTTTCCCAACTTAACCTCCCTCTGAAATTGCTATTTTATTTTGCTTTAAATATTCTAAGTACTATGCATTGTCTACTATTCTATCATGCATTTGCTTTTTGCTTGAAATTATTATTGAATAATTTTATGAATAAAGAAAATTAAGCCCAGTCTCATCAACAAGGTGGCAAACTTACTGAAGTCCAAACTATATAAACTATGGCTTTTGGGTACGCAGCAGATCGAAGTATATGATCGCAAATACAGTCCTACTAGAAAAAAAAATAATGACTTTCTTTTTCACATTTTCACAAGTGATAACATACCTCTTAAAAGCTCAAATTTAACACCCCAAATGGTAAAGACTAATGCTGAAAATCTCTGACCAGAAACAAAACTTTTTTCACTTTAAAATTCACTAATATTTTCTTTTAAATCTCATTTAGGAAAATGTGTATCAGCTCTTTGTCAGATTCTAGTCTCTGTGATTTATCTGCTGTTGTAAAGATGTTGGTTTCAGCGTCTTAATAATAAAAAAGTACTCCATCTAAAAATGCATCAACATACACATCCTTATTTTTCATTTTCTTATTGTTTTATATGTCTACTTTCATTCACATGGGGCACACTAAATGAATCTGATCTGATCTCATGTTTGCTTATGAAATAAAAACAACTGCCATTAGTCTTCTGCTTTTTGTCTGTTTTCCAGTTAAATTAAACAAATACATGGTGAGAAAAAGTTCTGAGGGTGAATTAACAAGATAAATAAGACGGTGTTGATTCCCCATTAGGGATTTATAATCCAGTATGTTGACCATTGAACTAGAAAATCGCTATGTCAATATCTAGAATTCCTAACAGGATCTGAGGTGACTCCAAACAATATAACCTGATAACAATGAACATGATTTGGGTATAAAGTGATTAGGTGAGCTGAAAATTACATCTTCTTCATATTTCATCCAACTTTATTTTGAGGTAATATCATTTTATCTATTATTCCTTAAAATAACATGATAAAAAAATTCTTGTTTCATAAGTTTTCTTTAATATATTTTATACTATGATTAAATTTTATTCTTGCTGGAGTAATGCATGCTCACAGTCAAAATAATTAAATAAGATTATAATAAAAAATAGTAGTTTCCAGGGCCAATTGTTCTTTCAAATCTTATAAATATTTCTTTTTATATTTAGCTGTACATTTCAAAGTAATATTCTTATAGCATTATTTGTTGATTTATCAATTTTAATTATTATATAGAGAAAAACCATTAGCTTTTAAAAACCCATCTTCCCACTTAGCCACTACTCATTTTTTCCAATACCGCTTATATCACAATTTTTAATTTAATAATAATGTTTAATGTATAACTACATAAATATTGTTCACTTTTGAACCAATTAATATAACTTACCTTTCTTGTTCGACTTGTTTTTACCTGGAGTTAATAACTGACATTCCTTTTGTTTGGTAACAACTTACATAACTACAGCATAATACAATATCAAAAGCAGGAAATTGACATTGATATAACCCCCAGACCTTATTCAGATTTCCCATTTTACATGTACTCATGTGTATGTGTATGTGTGTGTAGTTTTGTGCAATTTTATCTCAAGTCTAGACTTGTAACCACAATCAAGATTCAGAACTGTCCCAGCTCCACAAAGTTATGCCTCATGCTACACCTGTAGCCTCACCATTTCCTCTCTGGTCCTTCATCCCTAACCCGTGCCAACCCTAATCTGCTTTCCATATCTGTAAGATCCCAAGAACGTTCAAATTAATTTTTAAAAGCTTTTGGTTGTTATATTTTTATTTTTAAGGGATTTCTTTGTTTACTGTTAACTTTTCATAGCATTTTGTTCTCATATTATGCAAAAATATCTTCCGTTATCTCAGAATAAAGGAAAATAATGATAGATGTTGATTTTAGAAGTTTCCTTCTGCTGCATTTATCTGATGCCTCTAAGCCCTCTTCCTTTTTAAAAATTGTTTTCAACTTTCTTTTCATAAAATTTAAGAGTGATACACTAGAAAGCAAATTGTTGAATGTGTAGGCCTGACTGTTAATCTTTCCTTTGAAGGGACCCAAATATTAATGTCTGGATTTCTTTTAAACCTGAGGTCCTCAACCTCTGGGCGGCAGACTGGTACTGCTCTGGTCGAGGCCTGTTAGCAACCCTGCTGCACAGCAGGAGGTGAGCCTTGAGCTAGCCAGCATTACCACCTGAGCTCTGCCTCCTTTCAGATCAGCAGTGGCAATAGATTCTCATAGGAGCGTGAATCTTATTGTGAACTGCATGTGAAGGATCCAAGTTGTGTGCTCCTTATGATAATCTAGTGCCTGATGACATGATATCAAAGAGTTTCATTCCAAAACTATCCCCTGCTCCACCTTGTCCGGCCGTGGAAAAGATTTTCTTCCAAAAAGGATGGGGACCGCTGTTTTAAACAACCTGATACCCTATTAACAACATATATCCAAATCAGGCCATATGATTTAAAACCTATTTGCAACATAATCCCTTTCATTACCAATCTGGGCAAAACCTTAAATATCAGAAACTTTAGATTCTGCCATCTTTAATGGGGAATTTAATTGTGCCAGTAGAGTTCTGGTGCTTTTGTCCCTTACTACAGCACATGGGTGCCAACATTGCCTTTGCTAGCTGTCACCCAGAAGCCTGTTGACTTAAATGACATTTATTTACCAAATTCTCAGGCCAGTCTTGCCTTCAGATATACACAAGTGGCCTAGTCTCATTTGGAGTCCACATAGGCACAAAAACAAAACCCATATCTTCTGCAGTGGATATCCACTTGAAAAGAGTATCGAATCACCTGGTGACAATGAACTCACATTCTACATGACATCACCGTGGCCCAGGGGCTCACCACCGGATGTGACATCGCTCCCTGTGACTTCACCTAGGAACCTGAAATCCCTGTCCCTGTAACTCCCACGGGCTGCCTCTCTTAAGGTGCTGACAAATTGGGCATGAAACATTTATTGCTTTTCTTCCTTTGATATTAGAAATCCTATTATATTTCCTGAGATTGCTGTCTGCTTAGCCTGTGATCCTTGTACACTCCTTGCTCTCTCCCAAAACATACACCGCTACACATTCATGCCTAAAAGAAAATCAGGTACAGGATACTAAAATCTGTGCCATTCTAAAAATGAATGGAGATGATTGTTTTCCCCAGAAGGCATCTTCCTCTTATCATTCAATTCCTTGACCATCTGAAGAGAGAATTACTCACTCCCCAGTGCCTTCTTCTTTGATTACCTCACCTTTCTACCAAGGCCCACTGCCTCGTGTCTCCATCCATGACTGCTACAACCACCCCTTCCCCTTGGTTACACACAAATGACACTAATCTTAACATCCTTTACTAAACTAAGTTCAAACCCTCCAGCAACAAAACTGCTAGAGCTGGCCACCATCTTGACCAGAAAAATATATCAAAATTATATATATGCACACATAATACCACCAAGATATTATTAGAGACCTCAGAAATTTCACCTTTTCTGGGTTAATGACATAAAAATCAGAAGCTTAGTTACAAGCCAGCATACCAGGACTCCTTATACTTCTACTTGTGTTCTTTCTTTTTACTTTCATACTGAAATATTTTCTAGACTCTTCAGGGCATCTTGTGCCCTACTCTCTGAACTTCTCTACTATTCTTGTCATTCAAATGTCTCAGATAATAGAGCTCAAAACTGATGTTGAAACATCAAAAGATCAATTGTATATAGTTTTTTAAATAGCGTCTTGATCCAGTTTGCATGCCCTGGATAGAGGCTGTTCAGTTCCCTTTCTGAGCAGCCAATTAAGTCCACTCCTCCAATCACCGGTTTATCAGGCTTTCACACTCAGGGGCACTAGACATCAGCCCTGATCACCCCAGGACCAGGTACCAGACAACCAGAACCAGCCCTTATGCCCCAGAGCCTGCTGAAATTATTCCAAACTAGCCAATTGTAAGGCTGCTTACCCTGCTTTGCCTGTTCCTTCCTGTAGAAACCACAATAAAGGATCTGGACCATAGTCTGTTGCTCTCCTTCTGCCTCATGGCCAAGCTTGGTGATTCCTAGTATGACCTTCCTTTTTTTGGGATCTAAGAGTATAACAAATTATCTTTTCAATGGCAGTTGTCTCTTCATCTGTTGGCTTTATTGTACCTAAATAAAAATAAAACCTATTAAAGCAGAATTTGGCTAATTCACATCATTTCCTGACATTTCATCACAGTCTTCTATCCTGAAGGCACCAGTTGAAAGGTGGCTAGCAACTTGATATATTAAAAATATTCTGTTTATTCAGGTTATGAACAGAGGTATATGATGACTTTTGCCTAGAAAAAACACATAGCAGTTCAGGAAAATTAGAAATTGTCAATAAGCAAGATCTTTCATGTTTCTGAAAAGTTCAATAAGTAACAGCATACCTATGAATCCAGAAGGAAAAAAATCACTGAAATAAATGCATTTTTGTTTATGATGCAGGAATATATATATATAGTCATTTTACTTCCCATTTTAAATTACTATCCAGTCAAGTCTTCTACACTGATACTATCAGTTTTCATTTTTAAAAAAGAGAGAGAACACTTTCACACTTAAGAACATGCAGTTCTGATGTTTACAAAATAATTTATTCTGCATATTTCTTGTTACAACTGTTAAAAGATTTGTTTCTGCTTTGAGTCATTTCTTCCTTTTTCTCCAAAGTTATATATGAGGCAGAAGGTGGTGGGGGGAAGGGGTAGGTGAGGGAGGATTATTTCTAATGGAATTACTAACATCTGACTGAAAGTTAACATTCAGTCATGTGCCACATAATGACGTTTTGGTCAATGATGAACCACACATAGAGTGGTGATTCTGTCAGATTATAATGGAGCTGAAAAATTCCTATCATTTAGTGACTAGTTGTCATAAGGTACAATGCATTACATGTGTTCTTCTGGTGACGCTGGTGTGAACAAACCTACTGCACCGCCAGTAGTATAAATTTAGCATATATAATATATAAGCTGCATAATATTTAACAATAATAAATGACTATATTACTGGTCTGCATATTTACTATAGTATACTTTTTAATCATTATTTTTAAAGTGTACTTCTACTTATATGTAAACAAACAAACAAACAAAACAAAACAAAACAAAGCCAGTTAACTGTAAAACAACCTCAGGCAGGTCCTTCAGGAGGTATTCTAGAAGAAGGCATTGTAGTCATAGGAGGCGACAGCTCCATGTATATTACTGCCCCTGAAGACCTCTCAGTGGAACAAGATGTGGAGGTGGATGACAGTGATATTGATCATCCTGAACCTGTATAGGCCTAGGCAAATGTGTGTGCTTGTGTTTTAGTTTTTAACAAAACATTTTAAAAGTAAAGCAAGAAAAAAAATTATAGAAATAGAAAATAAAGCAATTATTTTTGTACATATGTACAATGTGTTTGTGTTTTTAGAATAAAAAATTTAAAAATTAAAGTTTATAAAATAAAATAGCTACAATAAGCTAAAGTTATTGAAGAAAAAAGATTTTTAATAAATTTAGTGTAGCAGAAGTAAACAGTGTTTATAAAGTCTACAGTAGTGTACACAAATGTCCGAGGCCTTCGCATTCAACCACCACTCACTGATTAATTCACCCAGAGCAACTTCTAGTCCTGCAAGCTCTATTCATGGTAAATGCTTTATACAGGTATACCATTTTTATTTTTTATACTGTATTTTTACTTTACTTTGTCTATCTTTAAATACACAAATATTTCACATTGTATTACAATTGCCCAGTAATCTGCTGTACAGGTGTTTAGCCTAGGAGCAATATGTTCTACCATATAGCCCAGGTATGTAGTAGGCTATACCATCTAGGTTTGTGTAAATACACTTTATGTTGTATGCACAATAATGAAATCACCTAAAAGCACATTGCTCAGGACTTATTCCCACTATTAAGCGACGCATGACTGTACTTTAGAATTATTGGATAAATAGTGAATATTGATAGCAATATTTTGATTTCAGCATCCTAATGAAATCTTGACGCAAATAAATATGAGGTGCCAAATTCAACTACCATTGCATATTTTGCAAGCATCAGGACAGCTCTGATGGTTCCGGTATAAATCAAAAAAAGTTTTGTGTAGCTCAGGAGGGATTAATATACTCAGAATTACTTTAATCCTTTAGGTCAAGGTAATTGTTATACCAGCTACATATGAACCTTCTGGGAAAATAATTTCCCAGCTTTTTACGAATCTGTATAATGATCCTTGTGGTGTGTGGAGAACAATGAATTGAAATAACTAATAAAAATTATGTTTAAAGTTCAATGACCCCCCCCCACACCCACCCAAATGATTTAATTTCTTACCTGCTGCGAGTTACACTAACAACTGCCTTTGTGCCCTGGGAGCTCTGAAAGAATCATAAGGCAACTATGGAGATGGAGCCTTCTCTATTACACGTAAGTTGAGGCCCCTTTTTCCATATATAAATTAGTTTTAACCCATAGGTTAATATTTTAACCAAAAATTTTTAGCTCAAAAGAAGATTCTCAGCCCTTCTTCTCACTGGATCATGTCTCTACAAATCACCTCCCATTGTCCTGTTTTGTTTTGTTTTTCCTACCACAGTGTGTTTCCATTTCCCATTCTTCTAGACAGCTGTCGTTCAACACACTCACTTCAATTCTCTTTTGTGGAATTTTCTAATACATGTATTGCACACTGCTCAGTGGCTTAACAGTGGAATTACATCAATGGAACAGGCACAGTCTTTACTCAGTATTTACTAAGACTATTTTTGAATGCTGAGTTCATGAATCTGTTACCAAGCACATTCAATCTTTCCAGGTACGGCTATTTTGCAAACCCCCCTTCTTCTTCCTCTTTTGTATTTTTTACTGCTTAACGTAACGTTATTTTGATATTTTCTTCCACTGTTCTTATTCTATCGTATGCTTTTCTCTGTTAGTATCATATTACTACTCACATAATCCACAGAACAAATGGAACATTCCAAGCTATGGTAGAGTTGGCCAAAAACATGAAAATGTTTTAGGTGTCACTAATATAAAATGAACATATGTTATTGACTGAGAAGCAATTAATGTTCAAATAATTGTTCATATATATTATTTTGGTAATGTATATCTGAGGTATAAGAAACCCATTGAATTTATATATGCAAATATTTGAACATAGATAAATATTTCTATAGAAAAGTTTATATTGTTTTCCTTAGAGTCTCAAAGTATTTTTGATTCCAAAAAGATTTAAATTCCCTCTCTATCAAGTTAGTAAACAAAGAAAATGACAAATGATTTCCAAGAGCTCTTTAGGTGAGGAATAAAGTCATTAAAAATAGAATCCCTTTCATGAGCAAACATTCCACAGTAATAGATGACATGATTTTTGAACTCCCTGATATCTTATTGAATATCTTTTAGAATATCTTTTAAACAGATCTTTAAAGAGATCTTACTGAATATCTTTTAGAACTTTTCTCGGAGAAAAACCTTTTCTTAATAAGCAAAATAGTCTTATCTGTTTGTATGGCAAAAGATTGGTGGAGTTATGTGAGTATTTGCGGGATTTTAAATAGCCAGAATATCTAAGGCAAATAATTTAGGTTTTATAAAATGATCTTGGATTTCTACTACCGTTGGTGGCTGATTAGGTCACTCAGATCAAATCTTTCATTGAGGACAATTAGTAAATCTGGAGTGGAAAAGAAGTTGATGAAATAATTAATATTTTCTCATCCAGGACACAGAAGAGGAGAGAAGCCCAGGAACCTGAGCTACTAAAGGGAGCTTGTGCCACACAGGGATGAGACGAAAGGTTTCACAAGTACAAGATTACAACAGTGGGCTTCAGTCTGGAAACAAGGAAGAACATAAGCAGACAGGCTTCGCTGAGGCTGCTGCTCAGGGTACTAGTATCTAAATCTCTGAAATTGAGATACTACTTCAATCTGTAAGGGATTCCAGAGTGCTTGTCTCTATAGACCCTTGGCAGAAGCAAATGAAAAATCACCTCAGGAAGATGATCTCTTCCTGTGTCTCTCAGGGCCAGATTAGAGTGAGGTGAGATTGGCAGTCACCTCAGGTGTAAAATTTAAGAGGAAAGGAGAATGCCAAGAAAACCCTAATCAAGTGATCAGAAACTCAAGTTATGCACAGAATGTTTATGTCCCCTGAAAATTCATATCTTGAATCCTAACTGCCAATGTGATGGCATTAGAAGGTGGGAATATGTGAAATAAAGGAACTCATAAATGATGCCACAAACGAATTCCTAGTTTGTTTCCATTTATTTTTAATTTCAGGACTTGATAATTTTATATTTAAAAAATATGCAAAACTTATACAGTTTGAAAAACAAAAATATTTCTTAAAATGCTTTCCTCAAAGAATACTCACTTTCAACGCTATTCTCTCCACTTCTTTCATGCCTTTCCCCATATCCATTTATTTTGATTATTTTCTAGTTAATGCTTCTTGTGTCTCTTTTTGTAGGAATAAGCAAATATGGATATATATTTTGATCTCCCTACCTTTTACTGCAAAAGATATCACTACGTAAATCACATTGCCCCTAGCTTCAATTTCCCGTAAAACATATCTCCCAAAAGCCTTTCACAGAGGTTAACAACCAATTGTACTGTCATCTTGTCTTCAAATGTAAATCATTTAATCTTGTCTTTTACAATTCTGACTCTCATTATTTCCTGATATTCACATTTAATAATGAATTTTATCAGAAATGAGTAGTGAATTCTGCTTTTTCAGTGTGTATGGATATGATTTTTCTTCAGTAAACAAGAAAATATATCATATTTCAAAATATATAATTATAATTATATAATGATATATAATTAGGATTTTTTATATTTCTGTATTTTATTATATCTTCTTCGCTAAATTAACAACAAAAAGAGCAAGCAAGCCAGAAGATTACATTCTTTTATAACTTGAAAGATTATGAACAATTTTTAAGGTTCTTAATACTTATAAGAACAAGATTGTGAATTTTTAGAGACAAATAGCCATCCTTTATTATGTAGACTTTGATCCCCTACCACGCACTTTTTTTAATTTTTAATTTTTGTGGGTACGTTGTAGGTGTGCATATTTATGAGGTACACGAGACGTTTTGATACAGGCATGCAATGTGAAATACTCACATCATGGAGAATGGGGTATCCGTTTTCTCAAGCATTTATTCTTTGGGTTACAAAGAATCCAGTTACAACCCTAGGTTATCTTTCAGGATTTTCATACTTTTGGGTTTTACATTTAAGTCTCTAATCTATCTTAAGTTAATTTTTGTATATGGTGTAAGAAGGGGTCCAGTTACAATCTTCTGCATATAGCTAGCCAGTTGTCCCAGTACCATTTGTTGAATAGGGAATCCTTTCCCCATTAATTGTTTTTGTCAGGTTTGTTGAAGGTCAGATAGTTGTAAGTGCCCAATTACAATCCAGTTACTCTTTTAGTTATTTTAAAATGTGCAACTAAATTATTATTGACTACAGTCACCCTATTGTACTATAAAATAGTAAGTCTTTTCATTCTTTCTTTTTGTTAACTTTTATTTTAAATTCAGGGGTACAAGTGTAGGTTTGTTACATAGGTAAACTTGTGTCATAGAGATTTCTTGTACAGATTATTTCATAACCCAGGTACTAATCCTAGTACCCATTAGTTGTTTTTCCTGATCCTCTCCCTCTTTCCACCCTTTACCCCCCGAAAGGCCCCAGTGTGTGTCATTTCCCTCTATCTGTCCATGTGTTATCATTCAGCTCCCACTTGTAAGTGAGAACATGCAGTGTTTGGTTTTCTGTTTCTGTGTTAGTTTTCTGAGAATAATGGGCTCCAGCTCTGTGTCTGTAAAGGACATGATGTCATTCTTTTTTATGGCTGCATAGTATTCCATGATGTATATGCACCACATTTTCTTTTATCCAGTCTATCACTAATGGGCATTCAGCTTGATTCCATGTCTTTGCTATTGTGAATAGTGCTGCAATGAACATATGTGTGCATGTCTCTATAATAGAATGATTTATATTCCCATGAGTATATACCCAGTAATGGGATTGTTGAGTCAAATGGTATTTCTGTCTTTAGGTCTTTGAAGAACCACCACACTGTCTTCCGCAATGGCTGAACTACTTTACACTCCCATCAACATTGTATAAGCATCCTTTTTCTCCATAGCCTCGCCAGCATCTGTTATATTTTGACTTTTGAATAATAGCCATTCTGACTGGCATGAGATGGTATCTCATTGTGGTTTTGATTTGCATTTCTCTAATGATCAGTGAGGTTGTGCTTTTTTTCATAAGCTTGTTGGCCACATGTATGTCTTTTTTTGAGAAGTGTCTGTTCATGTCATTCACCCATGTTTTAATGGGGTTGTTTTTTTCTTGTAAATTTGTTTAAGTTCCTTGTGGATCATGGATATTAGACCTTTGTCAGATGGATAGGCTGCAAAAGTTTCCTCCCATTCTGTATGTTGTCTGTTCATGCTTTTGATAGTTTATTTTTCTGTGCAGAAACTCCTTAATTTAATTAGATCCCATTTGGCAATTTTTACTTTTGTTGCAATTGCTTTTGTTGTCTTTGTCATGAAATCTTTGCCCGTGCCTATGTCCTGAATGGTATTGCCTAGGTTGTCTTCCAGGTTTGTATAGTTTTGGATTTTACATTTAGGTCTTAATCTATCTTAAGTTTATATCTTGTATTCAGTGCAAGGAATGGGTTTAATTTCAATCTTCCATGTATGGCTAGCCAGTTATTCCAGCACCATTTATCAAATAGAGAATCCTTTCCCCATTGCTTGTTCTTGTCAGGTTTGTCAAAGATCAGATAGTTGCAGGTGTGCTGTCTGATTTCTGGGCCCTCTATCTAGTTTCATTGGTCTATGTGTCTGTCTTGGTATCAGAACCATGCTGTTTTGGTTACTGTAGCCCTGTAGTATAGCTTGAAGATGGGTAGCATGATGCCTCCAGCTTCGTTGTTTTTGCTTAGGATTGCCTTGGCTATTCAGGCTCTTTTCTTTGGTTCCGTATAAATTTTAAAATAGTTTTTTCTAGTTCTGTGAATAATGTCAATGGTAGTTTAATAGGCATAGCATTGAATCTATAAATTTCTTTGGGCAGTATGGTCATTTTAACGATATTGAGTCTACCAATTCAGGAACATGGAATGTTTTTCCATTTGTTTGTGTCATCTCTGGTTTCTTTGAGCAATGGTTTGTAGTTTTCCTTGCAGAGATCTTTCACTTACCTGGTTAGCTGTATTCCTAGATATTTTTTGTTCCATGGATTTTGACACATCTATAATAACATGTATCAAGCATTATATCATCATAAATAATAGCTCCACAGCCCTAAAAACCTGTGTGCCATGAATTGATCCCACCCTTCACCCTACTCCCTAGTAACTGCTGTTTACTCTCTTCATAGTTGTGCTTTTTCCAGAATGTCATATAGTATGTAGTCTTTTCAGATTAGCTTGTTTTATTTAGTAATATGCATTTAAGTTTTCTCCATGTCTTTTCATGACTTGATGGCTGATTTCTTTTTAGTTTTGAAAAATACTGCTTTGTCTGATGTACCAGTTTATTTATCCATTCACCTACTGAAGGACATCTTGGTAGCTTTCAAGTTGTGGCATTTGTGAATTATGCTGCTATACACATACACGTATGTGCAGGTTTTTGTGTGAACATAAGGTTTTAATTTAAGGTGAATCCCAGGGGTGACAATTATTAAACTGTATAGTTAGAGTTTGTTTAGTTTTATAAGAAACTGCCAAACTATTTAAAGTGGCTGTATCATTGCATTTCCACCAGCCATGAATGAGAGTTTCTGTTACTCCACATCTACTCCAGCATTTGGAGTAAATGGAGTAGATTTGGAGTGTTGTCAGTGTCTTGGATTTGGATTTTATAATAGGTGTGTAGTGGTTATCAAGATTTGTGATTTTGATATGCAAAGTCATCTCTTATCAGATTTCTTTAATTTTTTTCCAGTGATGAATGCACCCTTGTTATCTTGTTCATTTGTTTTTCATTTTTATTTATTAAGAACCCAGGCATTTGTTTATTTTGTTGTTTTTGTCACAATCCAGGTTTTTAAAAATTATTAATCCATTTTTTTCTAACTTATCAATATCTTCTTTTTTCTATATTAGATCATTCCATTTTCCTTTTGTTTACTTTGAATTTTTTCCATCTTTTTAAAGTTTAAGATTAATTCAGTTATTTTTATATCTTATTGATATTTAAATAAATATTTGAGTGCAAGGATTTTCTCCAATCACTTAATTATATTCCGTATATTGTATTGAGCCCTATAGATTTGTTAAAGTATATTTTCATTATGTCATTTATTAGATAATATACATCTTGTTTTGTATTTCCTCTTAGATTCAAGAGTTGCTTAACAGAGGATTTTAAGAATTTCTCTGGAATAATTTTTATTGTTGTTATTTTGATTTCTATTTATTTATAGTTTTATTGCATTGTGACTAATATATCATTTCTATTTCATGCAATTTGAAGTTATTTTTTGTGAATTAATATACCATCATTTTTGGTTAATGTTTTAGATACACCAGAATTGTTCTTTTGTATTCTAACTTTTTTTATGTGTTCATGTGAACTATTTTAGACTAAAAAGGTATATTAAGGCGAGGAGTGATGGCTTACGCCTGTAATCCTAGCACTTTGGGAGGCCAAGGTGGGTGGATCACTTGAGCTCATGAGTTTGAGTCCAACCTGAGCAACATGGCGAAACCCTGTCTCTACAAAAAATACAAAAATTAGCCAGGCGTGGTGGCGTGCACCTGTAGTTCTAGCTACTAGGGAGACTGAGGTGAGAGGATGCCTTCAGCCTGGGAGGTGGAGGTTGCAGTCAGCCAAGAGCCACTGCACTCCAGCCTGGGCAATAGAGCCCGACCTTGTCTCAGGAAAAAAAAATTATATATATATAAATTATATATATAAATTTATATATATATATAAAGTTTGCCTAATATAATCCTGTTTTTGTTTGCACTTTCTACTTTGTTAAAGTTGCTATTATGTTATTTGAAGCACACATATTAATACCTATTGTACCTTCATTGTGAAGCAGCCCTTCAGCATTATGAAGTGTCATTCATTTCACTCTTAAACCTTTTGTTCTTAATTTGACCTTGTCAGACATTGAGATCCAAATGCCTACTTTATTTTGTCTGTATTTGCCTGCTTCCAATACCTATCTTATATTTTTAGACTTTCTGAATCACGTTGTTCTAAGGGTATCTTTTTCATATAGCACATAGTACGATTTTGCTTTCTGAACCAATCGGAAAACATTTTTCTTTACAAAGGAACTTAAAGTTAAGCCCATTTGAATTTACTAATATATTTGATTTGCTCAGTTTCAGCTCTGTCATATTATGTTCTACTTCCTGTGTTTTCCACTATGTGACCTGTTTTCATTATTTTAAAAATATTGGATTACTTCTAGTATTTGGAAAGTCTTGTGTTTGCTTTCCATTGTTGCTATTATGTTAATATCTAATACCCTTTTCCTTGTTTAGACCTTTACCCGAGCTTTGTCAGCTTTAAAGAATTTTGTTTGACTTCTACCTATTATCTATGTGGCATTAAGTGAGGTTTCTATTATTTGCTTTCTTTTGTTCCCATTTTTTTGGTCCTGTTTCTTTTTGAACTTTATCAGAGCACATAACATTTACATACAATTTTTCATTATTACCCCACTTTTGTTTTAGTTTTAAATCTGCAATATTAAATTAGTTTTTTGCTGATGTCTCATTAGTCAATGTTTCCTGAGTTCTTCATTCATTTTATAGACTTTATATTTGAAGAAAATCTTGGTTGGACACAAAGTTCTTATTTCTTAAGAATTTTGTTCCATTGTTTTCTGCTTTCAATGTGATGTGATTATCAAGAAGTCAAGTGCTGAAATGATTTTTTTTCCTTTATTAGTAATTAGGACTTTTTTGCTCGAAGAACCAGAGGATTTTGTCTTCTTTATTATTAACACTTGTTTCTGTTAAGGTAAGTTTTGAGTTGGCCATTCTGCTCATTTTTCCTAAGTGTGTGGCAAATGTGTAAATTCAGGTCATCTTTCATTTTGAGGAGGTTTCCTTGGATTATTCTTTTAAAGATTAGTCCTGCTGCAGTTGTAGTTGTCAATCTTTCTTATCACTTTTGTTTCCTTCCTATTTTATGCCTTCTTTATTCAGTTGAATTTTCTTGGCTCCTTCTCTCTGGTTCTTATTATATTCTGGCCTTCCCTGTACTCCCTTGTGTATCTTATAATTTAGTTTTCTTATCTGAGAAGATTTTATCTTTTACTTTAATTTATTTCCTCAGTTCAAATTCAATTTCACATTTGCCTGGCATTTATCCATTTTTATGTTGAGATTTTGGATTTCTAGTTTCTGGTGCTTTTTAATCTGAAATTATATTTAATTTTTATTTTAATGTACATTTTAATTTTCTTCTATTTTACTACCTTTTCAAAGGCTTTACAAAAGACTTTTTAAAAATGACCTGTTCAGGGCCGGGCGTGGTGGCTCATGCCTGTAATCCCAGAACTTTGGGAGGCTGAAGCAGGTGGATTACCTGAGGTCAGGAATTCAAGACCAGCCTGACCAGCGTGGTGAAACCCCGTCTCTACTAAAAATACAAAAATTAGCTGGACGCGGTGTCTTGCCCCTGTAGTCCCAGCTACTCGGGAGGCTGAGAAAGGAGAATCGCTTGAACCCGGGAGGCAGAGTCATTGCACTCCAGCTTGGGCCACATAGAGAGACCCCGTTTCAAAAAAGAAAGAAAAGAAAAGAAAAAAGAAAAAGAAAAATGATCTGCTCAAAAGACCTGTTTCATCTTTCCTAGTTTCTTCTCATAACTTTATATACATTTGACGTTTTTTGTTGGTTCACGTTTACATGCATTAGATTTACCTGGACCCACAATATATAGGTGACACAATGAGGCTGAATGGATGAAGGGGTTTGAATATTATACCCAGTATTCTAGTAAAAAAAAAGAAGTCTTTTTTCATTGGTATAGTGGAGTAGCTTCTTTAATAAATGGAGAATTTTTGCTCTGGTTTCCTGAGATATTTTGACATAGACTTTTTAGATTTTCCTGTTTATCTTAGCCACCAACCATCTCAGATTTATCTTCCTCTTGTAGGGTGCCTCCTTCTCTCATCAAGGCTAGCACCTCTCATGCCAAGCGGTTGCTAAGACCCTTTCTTCCATCTTCTATCTAGCTGGTGCACTAATGCACCAGATCTCAGACTTGTTTCCAGTACTCCCACTTCATTTGGGTTTCTGTTCTTCCGTGGATTAGCCCACAGGGACCCTGCTTCCCCCTCCCATGCAACTTTTGTTTGACATTTTGTTCTGACGTAGACTCTGGGGACTACTGCAGTGGTCTTGTATGTTATGCATACTTACACGTAAATTTTATCTTGTATTATTATCTCACTCTTAATTATGCTGTAGGCAGGGTTTATGGGTAATTTTAATTCCTTTTCTTTTTGGGCAACCTGTTTTTATTCTACATGCTGTGATAACCCTGAACAAATATAATTGTTATGTTTATTTTTAATGCCATCAAGAAAGGTTATTAATAAGAAAAAAATCTATTGTAAATGTTTTTCAATCCTTCTAGCCAAGAACCCTCATTAGATTGAAAAGCAGTGGCTAAATCATAGGAAAATTTCCAATGGTCAATATATTTAGAAAAATTTGTTGAAATGATCATTTTACTTCTATGGGCCTGTTTGGAAGTCCCACTATTGATTCAGAAAATACCACTTATGAGAAAATTATGTATCAGTCAACACAATGGTAATTATAGCTTTAGGACTTAATTGAATTTGGTAATCAGTGCTCTCTAATATAATCTACTATTAAAAGTCAATTTATTTTTTATTTATTATGCTCTCTCTTACAGTCTGAGAAATAGCAAATTTTTTGTGTGTACACACACAAACACAAATACACACACTCATATATTCCAAAAGAGATTTTTTTCATGGGATCCCAGTATATCAATCTCTATTGTGTTTGGAGACATTGACATTCACAATTTCAGTGAACATTAGAATAGAAAATACCAATTAACACAATACGCAGTATGATAACTGTGGCTTGTGATCAGGGAATATCAAACCATCTCCTGCAAGTAAAAAATTTACTTTCTTTTCACATCATGATTTTGTATTACTTTTTGAAGCCTCCTAGTTTCACAAATGTGAAGGAAGTAATGAATCACCAGTGGAGTTTATAGTGAAAAGGCAGGCCTTTTATCTATGCAGTCAGATTTTCATGCATGTCATATGCTTATTATTCACCTCAAGACAAGCAGGCAATGGAATGAAAATAAATTTAAAAAGCAAACATGAAATTATTAACTATGTAAGAAACATGTTCCTGTTACATTATATCATTTAATGAGATCTAGCACAACAAGGAACATTTCTTTGCACATGTAATTAATAGGCAGCCAAATTAAATCCACAGTACATTGTACCAATATACTAATGCACACAAAATAAAACCACTGACTCAAGAATAATATAACATTTTCTCAGAATTTTGAAATATGTCTAGAGCTTTTGTTTCAACGGGATTAATTTCATCTCTACTCATGACTATGACCAAACCAAGATACAACAAGATCTTATAAGGACAATGAAGTCAAATAAGAGATACATCCATCCAGTACCTTATTAAGTAAAATACCAAATGTATTCGTCTGTTCTCACACTGCTATAAAGATACTATCTGAGACTGGGTAATTTATGAAGAAACAAGGTTTAATTGACTCACAGTTCTGCTTAACTGGGGAGGCCTCAGAAAATTTACAATCATGGTGGAGGGGGAAGCAGGCACCTTCTTCTCAAAGTGGCAGGAGAGAGAGAAAGGGCAGGGAAAAATGCCACTTTTAAAACCATCAGATCTTGTGAGAACTCCCTCACTGTCATGAGAACAGCATGGGGGAGACCATCCCCATGATCCAATCACCTCCCACCAGGTCCCTCCCTCAACATATGGGGATTATAATTCGAGATGAGATTAGGGTGGGGACACAGAGCCAAACCATAGTCACCAAGGAATAACACCAATGATGTTTTTCTGTTATGTTTTATTTTGAAGGAATAATTGCTTATAAAATCAAGCTAAATATATGCCTCTTATGTTCCTGTCATTCTTCTGGGCTTTACAGAGGACAAGAAGAAATTTAGTTCATAGTCTTTGTCCTCATGGGTACTAAAACCAGTTAAAGAAGAAAAGACATATAATTTTAAAGGTTATATTTAAAACAGATAGATGATTATATATCACATTCAGTATGTTCCATACTCAGTGTTAAATATGTTACAGATAAAAGAATTATTGGAATTATCAGAAATATTAAATTTCAGGAGCTATTAGAAGTAATGAGATTCAAAGGAATAAAATATTGAGAGGAATTAGTGTTCATAGTAATTAAGTGCCTGACCTTGGGTCATATCTCAGATTGAGGTTTTAGTGCTGCTGGATTATGGATGATGAGTTAAGTGATGACTCAGTGAAAAGAACTGAAGAGTTATCAGTATATGCTGGCTAAGTGGGTAAAGCTGGTAAAATGGAGCAGTTTGTTTAATAAAAGCAGAATTTTTTCTCTGTAAGGTTTTGACACTACCTTCTTCAATTTTTTTTCTTTAACCACAAACCATCTCAGAGCTACATTCCCTTTCTAAAGTGAAGTAAGGGATGACAAGTGAGATAATTATGGCTGATGAGAGCAGGAGCTTCTCTTTCAGTATATTACCAGTTGGAAAATTTCCAGTGAAAACCAAAATGGAACCATATTGGCATGTGGTTGATACAGAATTTTAAAAAGCAATCTGAATTTCTGATATCGTCAGTATAAAAGACAGTGAAAAAGAAATGGAATGGAAAAGTAAAATATAGATCAAATACAAAAGTCATGTGGAAATGTAGAAAAAGATGTAAGGATTTCTACAGAGCTGTAATAGACAACGTCTGATGTAAATTAACATTAAGTGTTTACTACTACCTTAAATAAATGACCATAACAAACTTTTGAGGCAAAAAATTCACACAAAGATTAAAATAATAATAATAATAAGTAATAATTTTCCTAAAGTCACGAAACCAAAAAGATTAAAACTAGATTGGAATTCAGCCCATCTATTCCAGCACCTGATTTTTTGGTTTTAAACCCTATACCATCTTTGGTCTCGGGATTGATTTGCAGGAACAACCAGAGGTCTCCAGATGACTTTTATCCTGTTATACGGGTCAGTTCCTGGAGACTTCCTACCATGCATATTATGATCAATATGTGTCATATGTCTTATGTATTTTCAGCCAAGCAAGCAGCAGTACTCATTTGGAAACAACAGTATGGAAAGAGCTAACTTTTAAATGGCGTATCTGGGCAGTTAGTTCCTGCTGTGGTTAGTTGCTGCAGCTGCTGCTTTCTTATTTGTATTCTTTTCTGTTTCAGGACATTTTTTTCTATTTTTACATTTGATGTAGTATTTTCTTTTTAAGGAAATCAAACCAAACAATTTTAAAAACTTTAAATTAATAATTGGCATTAATCCTCAATATTACTATGAAATTGTTTAAAATTCTGATATTTATGTTTTCTTTGGGGCTATGCTATCAAATTGAAAACACGGGAACATATCAAGATCTAGCTCTTAAGGGAAATATTGCAGTAGAATAAATAATGCTTCTTCTGCATAAGCCATTAGAAGAAGAAATTTATTTCAATAATGGATAATAAAAGTTTAAACCACCTCACTTCTGTTTTCTGTCACACAATGCTAAATACTAAATAGATAAGAAATACTAGATACTGAATAATTTAAGGAACACACTTGTCAAATTAGCAAATAGAACCTGAATAGATTGTAAAGAGTTGATGATATGTTTAGCAATTTTCAGATTATCTTCTATAGGCAACTTTGCAGGAGACTGTTACAGAAAGAAGTCAGTTAAATGTAAGCCTGTCCTCAATAATCTAAACATTACACAGAGACATTGTTTTTAAAAATTAGTGCCTACTCACCGTGTACTCCCTTCACAATCCCTTGCTCCATTATGATTTAATTAGCATGGATGTTATTTCATTTTATTTTAATTTTATTGTTTGTAACTACAGGTGGTTCTATTGAGCAGCCAAGGTTGACAACCAGTGTATTCATTAGCTAAGGCTGCCACATCAAAGTACTATAGGCCGGGTGTCTTAAACAACAAAATTTTTTTTTTTTTTTCAAAATTCTTGAGACTAGAGTCTGAGATCCAGGTGTTGGCAGGGTTGGTTTCTTCTGAAGCCTCACCCTGGCTTACAGATGATGACTTTCTGCCTGTGTCCTCACATGACCCTCTTTCTGTGTGTCTGTGTCCTAATCTTCTAATCTTCTCTTCTTATAAGGAGACAAGTCGTATTGCATTAGATTCCTCCCTAAAGACCTCATTTTACCTCTTTAAAGACTCATCTCCAAATATAGTCACATTCTGAGGTAGTGAAGTTAGGACTTCAACATAGGCATTTGGAAGGGACACAATTCGGCCCATAATAACCACTGATTTAGAAAGCAATCAGTTAGCAATGGATAATATATGACTAAAACTTTTAAAACTACAAAGTCATTCTGTTAACCAGATTAATAAATCTTAATTACCTAAGATTAATTAATAAATCTAATTACTTAAATTAGGGAAAAAAATCACTATAAATGACTATGCGATGATATTTCTGGATCCTCTATCATAAGTTGAATCAGAGGACTGTGTACAGAACAAAAATGTGGTTTAGAAACTCATGGTATGAAATTCTCTTTCTTCTTTGCGTAATTGACTAATAATCTTCTGTCTCTAAAGCTTACATTTCCTCAAATCTACAGCAGTAGATTAGAAGCTTGAAATAAAGCTTTATGAAAGTGGTAATTTGAATAGCAAAAAGAGTCATTAAGATGCTTTTCATCCACAGAAACCAACTGACTTGTACATGAAGTACAGTCATGAAACACTGAGCTGCTACTAACTTGCCGCACATGATTAGTTTTACAGTAAGGCTGGATTAATCAGGGCATTATCAATATTGCCGCACATGTTAATTAACAGGGACTATTTTTAAAATTCCATTTCCCAGATAATTAAAAAATGAAAATGATAGGAGATCCAGGTGTAAGTATTTTTTGAAGCGATTACATGTATATCCAAGTTTGAGAAATACTAACTTAGATACTAATAGAGAGTTCTTGAGTATAGGCCCACTTAAGTTATTGATGGTTTTAAGCCTGTAAGTTGCTGTTGGTCAGAGAGTTGCTCTGAGGCAATCAACCACAATGAGCTCTTCTAATGATAACAACAATAGATAGCCAACTGGCTGAAATTTTGAAAAGAAGAGGCGATACCGAAATTTACCATTTCAAGTATGAATTTACATAGGTGACAAATTGTGTGAAAGTAACAAACATTGAAAGTTGCTAACAAATTCTAAGTTAAAAGTATCCCCTTCCTGTCAACACTCTTAACCTCCAGAGCAAACACTGTATTTTAAAAAAAATTATACTTGAGTTTATTTCCAAACTATTTTCCAGTTTTTTTGCTTAGTACCAAAATATTTAACAACTTTCTCTATGAACAGCTTTTAGACAATGCCAGAAATTCTGAGTATGTCCATTAAAAATGACTAGTTAGATGTTTTATTATGTTGTCTAAAAATGAACAATATAGACTTTAAGAATTAAAGCAAAATAAGCAGTTGCTATTGTTTCCATATATATTATCTCCATCTTAAATACTTTAACGTTTTAAAATATATTTATATATTACATATTATATATATGTGTATAATTTTATATACACACATTCACATACACATACACATATATATGGAAAGAAAGACAAAGAGAGAGAGAGACAATATTTCCCCTAGTCTGACTTGACTTTTTGTTTCCTTAATGGTGTATTTGAGGGAATAAAAGTTTTATTTTTGTTTTTTATTTTAATGAAACTCAAATTATCAAAGTTTCCTTTTATGGTATGTGCTCGTTTGTGCGAGAATTATTTGTCTAGCTCAAATTCATAAATATTTTCTCCTATATTTTCTTCTAGTATTTTAGTTTAAGCTTTTTATATTTAGGTCTATTTTAAGTCGAAGTTTGCATATAGTGTCAGGTAAAGATCCATGTTCATTTTTTTTCTTTCCTATATTTGATTGCTAGTTGTTCCTGTACGCTTTTTGAAAAGAAAATCTTTTCCTCAATAAATTACCTTGACATTGTTGTTAAAAATCAATTTACCATATAATGTGGTTCTATTTCTGAACTTTGATTCATTTCCACTGATATATGTGTTTATCTTCATATCTATTACCACACTGTCTTAATTATTGTAGCTTTAAAACAATTTTGGAAATCAGGAGGTATTCGTTCTCCAAGCATGTTTTTTTTCATAATTGTTTTGGTTATTTTAAGTCCTTTGTAATTCCATATAATTTTAAAAATCAGTTTATGGATGCCTACAAAAACAGCCTGCTTATATTTTTTCTAAAAGACGAAAATAAAAAAAAAGCATTTGCATTGTTATTAAGGAGAACTGCAAAACGTTTGAGATTTTATTCCGCTTACATGCTGATAAGTTAGCCTGCTACATTTTCATAAAAACTAGCAGAGACATGGGGCTCTTGGGTTAGAGACCAAATATTATTACATCAGTAGTAATGACCAACACATCATTATAGTGTTTCCCTGAGCCAAAATTCTCAATTTCCATCTTCCCCTCCAGAGACAGACGTTATTTTTCTCACCCTGTAATGTAAACAAATCTGCACCAGGGAGAGAAAATTTTATTTTCTAAGACTGCCTGATATACAAACATACTTGAAAATGCATTTTAGATTAAATTAGCAATGAATGCCTTTGATAATGTGCAGAAATAAGAGACCCATGGAGAATTGTCTCCCAAAAACTATGGCCATGGAAATATTTACCAAGGTGGGACAAAATATTTTTTCTCGACGTTATATATGCTTCTTTACAAACTATTATTAGAATTACTGCTCTGTACCATGATGGCTCACAATATTAAGGGTAATCACAATCATATCGTTTGTTCTACCAGTTTCTCAGAGTCATGGGATCTTTTGTTCCTATTTGAAAAATGACTTTTTAGACAGTTTTTAAAAATGTATTTTGCCAAAAAGTTTCTTTGCCTTTGTGTTTTCTGTTGAGAAAAGATGAATATGCCTTTTTATGGGCTTCAACACAGGGTAGTGAAGTGATGGTTAGAAAGATTTCAACAAATACTGTTAAGGGATATAAGTTTCCTTTAATATCTATGCCAAGATGGAGGCACTGGATATTTAGAGCTGTGAAATTTTCCTATAAAATCATGCCACTGATACTGATGCCACTCATCCAAACCTGGTTAGGCACAAGAAACTTGCATCCGCTCTTTTGTTCTCATGACACTTTTTTATTGTTCTAGTGTCTCGGAAGGTAAACTTGGCAATTTGCAAAGGTTGTCACTAGGACAAAACACATAGATATTCAAGTAACTTCTGTAGATAGAGTGTGAAAACAATTAACTATTTCTTTCATGTGTGAGAGTGTCTTTATGTTGCTCTTGCACTTGATTAATACTCTGGATGGTAATATAAATTTCTGTTTTCTCTTTTAGATCTTCCTTGATTAATTGAATTTGTTCTTTACATTGCGTTTACCTTTATGTGTTTCCATCATGTTCTGTCCTCTGGGATATTTCTTGGACTTTATCTTTGAACTCTTCTTTTATTATTATTTTTTTAAATTCAGCACTAATGTCTTCAGTTTCTAAGAATTCCTTCATGTTCTCTTTTTTTTAATCATCAAATTTTATTTTTGTTTTCTGGATGCATATTCCTTTTGTTTCTCTCTGAGGCAGGGTGTTAGGTTGAAGGGAAAGTTGAGAAAAGAGGATCTTTATCCTTATTTTCGAAATATGAGGAATGCTATTTTAGGATAAATGTAGGGTTTTCCATGTTTAGGCAGTAGCAGAGTTTGAGTTTCAATCCGCAGAGAATCACAGTATTTATACATATCTTGGAAGGTTTTCTGAATCCCTTTGTACCTGATGAAGAAGCAGAAAAGTTTGCCAGTGATGTTGACTAGAAAGCCTGAAAGTTTCCTTGTTAGGTACAAAGTGACTTTGGAGCTACTTCATGTAGGGCAAACAATTTAGGCTATAAATCAAAAAGTAGACATTCATGGTGTTCCTACCAAAAATACTTAACCTGAACATAATCATGTAGAAACATCAGACAAACCCAGAGTGACAGACATTTTATGAAATAAATCCTCTATGCTTTTTAAATATCAATGTCATAAAAGACAAAGAAGGACTGAGGAACTGCTCCATATTAAAGGATACTTAAAAAGACTTAATAGTAAATGTGATGTCCTGAATTAGATTGTTTTTCCTTTTGTTATAAAGAACACTTATGGAAATTTCACAAAATTGTAATAAGGCCATTATATTAAACAAGAATATTATACCAATCTGAATTAACAAGATTTTGATAATCTTATTTTGGGTATGTAAGAGAGTATCCTTGATTTTAAGAAATATACACTGAAGTATTTTGGGTAAAGGGAAATAATGTGTGCAGCTTACTGTGAAATAATTCAGAAAAGTAATGATATCCTTCCCTCTACACAGACAGAGGAAACAATAAAGCAAATATGTTAAAATATTAACTTTTGGAAAATCTAAGGGTAAATATATAGGAATTTTGGTGTAATTCTTGCAACTTTTCTACACATCTGGAATTATTTCAAAACCAAAAATCCATAGGGAACCAATTCAATGACTGATGTCAGAAAAATATTTGAAGACTGCAAGAAGCAAATCAATAGAGGGGATCTAAGGACTTGACTGAGCCAAGTGAGTAGAGACCACAAGTTCACCAACCACCACTTCAGCAGGGAGTGGGTGAGTGCAACATGACCAAGTGGATAGAGCCACCTGCTTCATAGTCCAGGAAAAAAAAAGAATGAGCACAATAAATCCTTGTCTCTTTCTTATGCCTAGAAATTCCTCAGATACTATTTGGGAGACCATAAATGAGAAAATGTGAAACCGGAATAGATTTACCATGAGTTTGAAGGTCATAATCTTAAACTTAAAAGAGGTTATTAACATGCTAACATCTACATTCTTATCACCCAGCAATGTTTTCCCAGCGAGTGGAAAACATTTGAAGAATATTATCTCGGGTATAGCAAACAAAAAAGTTGGCAGGGCACAGAAGCTCATGCCCATAATCTCAGCACTTTGGAAGGCCAAGGTGGGAGGATCCCTTGAGGCCAGGACTTCAAGACCAGCCTGGACAGCATAGCAAGGTCCCGTCGGTGCAAAAACGTTTTAAAAATTCAGGTGTGGTGGTGTGTGCCTCTAGTCCTACCTACTTGGGAGGCTGAGGCAGGAGGATTATTTGAGCCCATGAGATTGAGGCTGCACGGAGCTATCTTGGCACTACTGCACTCCAACCTAGGTGACAGATTGAGGCCCTGCCTCAAAACAACAACAACCACAACCAAAAATGAAAGAAAAAGAAAACAGTCACAATTTCTCTGCACATTAGTGTATAGTTTAAAATGTGTTATCCCACTCTACAAACTAAAATATTTTCTTCTGTTCCTGAATCACTGTTTCACCTTGGGTCAATGTCTTTGTTGGTTTACTTGGGCTTTGCATTTTATGCTATTTGTGTTCCTGAAATGCCTGCTGATTTTGGCTCATCATTCATATTTAAAAACAAATTCGCTATGTAGGTCAAGAGTATAATAAAGTTGCAGTTATGTAGGATGAATAAATCTAGAGATTTATAGCATATAAGGATTATAGTTAATAATACTATACTGCATATTGATAATTTTCCAGGAGAGTTTATTTTAGGTGCTCTTACCAACACACACACACACACATATATATAATATAATCATTCAACTATAATAGTTAAATGATTATTGCAGTAAATTAGCATATCCATTATTTCAATTAGTTACCTCTTTTTATATATATATCTTTATATATCTATAAACCCTCTTTGTATATACATATATAGATATGCTAATTTACCGTAATAATCATTTAATTATGTATATGTGTATCATAATATACATTACATAATATATATTAACTATATATGTGTATAGTATGATATACCTATACATAGTTAAATGATTATTATAGTATATCAAGTAATCATATTGTATACCTTAAATATATATAATACAAATTTAAAAATATTAATAAGAAAACAAATTCATTGGTTTGCTCATTTAGATAGCTGATGTGGGTCTTGTTCTATATCATGAAAATTCCTGGGAGGTCATGTTGTAAGCTTTGTGAATAGAAATTGGGACATGTTGAGAGATAGCCTTTGTTTTTGAGTAAATAATCAGGTAGCTGGTCAGCAAGGAGCATAGTCCTCCAAATGCTAAAATGAGTGGAGATTTATTCTGGGCACCAACACAACCCTCCTCATCTCGGTGGGACAAATTCTTATACACCACATAAGCAGAATTAAAAACAAAAATCATGTAATCATTTCAATAGATACAGAAAAAGCACTTGACAAAATCCAGAATCCTTTTATGATTGAAACACTCAGCAAAATTGGCATAGAAGAGACATACATTGAGGTAATAAAAAACTATCTATGACAAACTCATAGCCAACATTATTCAGAACAGGGAAAAGTTGAAGGCCTCCTGACCAGATACATGTGTCATGGCCTCTGCTTTGCATCAGATAGTATTTCAGGTGTTTGGAATACACAGATGAATAGGACTTATTCTTCGATTTATTTTCGAAAGGAAACATAAATGTAAATGCACTAATTAAATACAATGGGACTGGTTCTAAAATATAGTAAAAAGAAATGCATATTTCCCTGTGCAAATACAGAGGCAGAGAGTCTAACTCACCTTGTATGGTGAGGCAGCTGGACCCTGAGTGACATGTCAGTCATGTCCTGACTATGCATAGTGTTTCAGCAGATGAGAAGACAAAGAGGAGGTGGTAAAACACTTAAGGAAGTATGTTCTCCAAGACTTACTATAAAGCTACATTAATCAAGACAATGTGGTATTGGTGAAAGATTAGACAAATAGATCAATGGAACAGAATAAAGAACCCAGAAATAGACTCACATAAATATAGTCAACTGATCCCTGACAAAGGAACAAAGGCAATACAGTGGAGAAAAGATAACTCTTTCAACAAATAATACTGGAACAAATGGACATCCACATGCAAAAAAAAAATTGAATCTAGACCTAGGTCTTACACCCTTCACAAAAGAACAGCAAATACAAAAGCCTTGAAAACACAGCACAACTTATGTGTTTGAAGAAAAAGAAAGAAACAGGATAACCAAGGGACATAAAGTCATAGAGGTAACACGGTCTCATATAACATAGGACATTACAAATATTTTGACGTTTTCTCTGGGTAAGAGAAAAGAGTTTAGAGCCACAAAAAAAGTATAATTTGATTTGAGACAAATAAGACAACTCTCGATGTTAATTATATAGGACGTGGCACAAGGAGTGGTGGGTAGAAGCTAATGACAGGAAAAGAAACACCAATTAGCCAGTTCCCATAATAATACAGAAGCAAGAGGATAGTTGTGTGGTCCAGAGAGGTTGACATGAAAATGTTAAGAAATGGTTGGGATCTGGATGTATTTTGAAAACACAGACAACAAGATTTTCTGATTTAATGTGGAGTATTAGAGAAAGAAAGGAGCCAAGTACAACACAAAAGTTTTGGGTCAAGCAATTAGAGTAATGGAGCTCTCATTTACTGAGTTGAGAAAGTTGAAGAGAAAAATAGAGTGATTTTTGAGGGAAGTCACATACCAGGAGCTGATTCCTAGCCATGTTAAATTAGAAGTACCTATTTGACATCTAAGTGGGGATGCAAAATAAGCAGACTATATGAACCTGAAGTTCAGAGGAGTTTTTTTTTTGTGCTAGAGAAGAAATAGAGAATCTGCAAAGAACTCAAAGAAATTTACAAGATAAAAACAAACAACCCCATCAAAAAGTGGGCGAAGGATATGAACAGACACTTCTCAAAAGAAGACATTTATGCAGCCAAAAGACACATGAAAAAATGCTCATCATCACTGGACATGAGAGAAATGCAAATCAAAACGACAATGAGATACCATCTCACACCAGTTAGAATGGTGATCATTAAAAAGTCAGGAAACAACAGGTGCTGAAGAGGATGTGGAAAAATAGGAACACTTTTACACTGTTGGTGGGACTGTAAACTAGTTCGACCATTGTGGAAGACAGTGTGGCGATTCCTCAGAGATCTAGAACTAGAAATACCATTTGACCCAGCCATCCCATTACTGGGTATATACCCAGAGGATTATAAATCATGCTGCTATAAAGACACATGCACACGTATGTTTATTGCGGCACTATTCACAATAGCAAAGACTTGGAACCAACCCAAATGTCCAACAATGATAGACTGGATCAAGAAAATGTGGCACATATACACCATGGAATACTATGCAGCCATAAAAAATGATGAGTTCATGTCCTTTGAAGAAACATGGATGAAGCTGGAAACCATAATTCATTCTCAGCAAACTATGGCAAGGCCAAAAAACCAAACACCACGTGTTCTCACTCATAGGTGGGAATTGAACAGTGAGAACACTTGGACACAGGAAAGGGAACATCACACACAGGGGCCTGTTGTGGGGTGGGGGAGGGGGGAGGGATAGCATTAGGAGATATACCTAATGTAAATGACGAGTTAATGGGTGCAGCACACCAACATGGCACATGTATACATATGTAACAAACCTGCATATTGTGCACATGTACCCTAGAACTTAAAGTATAATAAAAATATATATATATAAAAGAAATTGAGAACTACCAGCACTTAGACAGTATTGAAAACATATTGTGGATGAAATTACCTAGAGAGTAAATACAAATAGCAAAGAGATTAATGCCAAGGACAAATCCTGCAGTACTCCAGAGTTTAAAAATTGGGGAAATGGGGGAAAAATTGCAAATGAGACTCAGTTGGACTAGCTTGAGGGGTAAAGGCAAAACTAGGTGGTTGACTTCATAGTCTTGGAAGCTATATTAGTCAGGGTCTTCTAGAGAACCAGAACCAGTGGTGTGTGTGTATGTGTGTGTGAAATTGACTCACATGATTGTAGAGGCTGGCAAGTCCAAAATCTGCAGGATAGGCTGCAGGCTGTAGACCCAAGGAAGCACTGATGTTGCAGTTCAAGGTTGATGGTGGTCTGACAGGAGTATTTCTTCTTCTTTGGGGGGCTTTAGTCTTTTTTCTCTTAAGGTCTTCAACTGATTGGATGTGGCCCACCAGAATTATGCAGAGTAATTTGCTTTACTAAAAGTCTACTTGTTTGAATGCTAATTTTATCTGAAAACAATTTTTACAGTGACATCCAGGCTGGTGTTTGACCAAATATCTGGATACTGTGGTCTAGCCAATATGACACATAAAATTAACCATCACAGAAACCAAGTAAAAAGTAAGTTTCAAAGACAAGAGATCAATTTTTAATCAAGTGCTGCAACAGGTACAATAAGATGAGAATTTGACCATAAACTGGTCATTAGAATTAGCAAAACAATGCCACAAGGCATCTCAGGTGGCATCGATGGTCATGCCTAATTGGAGTAAATTCAAAGGTGAGTGGAAGTAAAGACATTGAACACAGCAGGAATAAACCATTCTTTCAAGAAGTTTTGCTTTAAAGATAGGGAGATAAATGTTATGGTAGCTTGATTGAGTGATAAGGTTAAGAAAAGTTTTTATTTTTTTATGTAGGAGAAATAACACTATGTGTACATGCTGATAAGAATGATCTAGTAGAGAGGATGTGGGAAAGAAAAGGGAGAAATGTAATACCTTGAATAGTTGAAAGAGGAGAGATTTCTATAGATGTGAAAGGCTAAAACATACACAGGAGTATGGACTGTTCCTCAAAGTAGGTGGGAATTTGAGGATATGGGTGTAGAGGCAGGTCAGAATGGTGGTGTGGTGGTAGGAGATTATAAAAGTTCTCTTCTGATGGTTTCTATTTCTCATAAAATAGGGCAGTCCTTGTCCTATTCTTTGGATGGCATGCCTATTCTCATGGGTATGCAACCCATGCAATTGCAAAAGTCTCCATGCTCAGAAAGGTCCATTATTTATTTTAACTATCTTCTGTTGATGTCATGAAATTATTAGCATTTTATCTTTGAATGTGTGTTTTGTAAAATCCATTGAGACAAGGGAGTGTGAGTCTAAACAGAGATGTACAAAACATATGTATCTGCTTCCTTGCCACTTCATTCACATATAGCACTACCAATGGCCTTGAGCACAGAATTCCAATGAACCCACAGTGTGTGGGAGTTCATCATGACTCAAAGCAAGTACAAGGTAAACCAGTCTATGACTGAGTAAGCCTGGGCCATTGAGGTCCCAAAAAGTCACACTTTTCAGATAGTACAAGAACTTGCTTCCAACTCAAAATTAGTAATGTTTCAAGAAACACAAATGATCAAGGAGCCCTATTAGTGTCATGGGATTGTTCACAATTCAATGGATAAATGCTTGAGGGGATGAATCCTCCATTCTTCATGATATGTTTATTTCACATTGCATGCCTGTATCAAAACAGCTCATGTACCTTATAAATATATATACCTATTATGTATGGACAAAAATTAAAAACTAAAAAAAATTGTTGGGTGCAAAAAAAAGGAAGCCCTGTTATATCTTTTCTCATTCATGTTACCTTTCAGTCTTAGCTGACTATTTATACTGAAAATGATGACATAAAAAGAAGGGGGAAGACAAAGTAACCTACAGTACGATTTCCTTTCCACCCTTATTCATCAATATGTTGAAGGTAGAGGATTTAGGTAGAACATGCACACATCAAGAAGTAAAAGTAAACAGTTGAGTTAGTTTTGTGTAGCATTTCTACTATTCTGTCAAGAAAAACATACATTTACATGTATAAGCTACATAATATGAATTCTGTGAGTTTGGTTACTATGCATATGGGTTAAATGTTCTTATAAATGCATGTAAAACTGGAATTCCACAATATAAAGACAAATGGTAGAATCCATACTAGCAACTTAAATTTTTAATTTTTCTTTGCTTAGAGCATCATTAAATACTAAATTTAAAAATGATACGATATTTTGAGAAGGAGAGTCTGTGGAACCAAAAAGCATTATATTTTAGTGCCTTTAATAGCACTTTTTTTCTGCTTTTAAAACAAGAGATCCTGTATTTTTATTTTGCACCAAGTCTTACAAATTATGTAGTCAGTACTGAAATAGCAAGCAAATCATCATCTGAGAATGAGGATGAAGGAGGAGATTTTGGAAGTTTAAGAAAAGAACAACTGTGAAGCATTTCTCTAGTTGAAAGGAAGCATGAATAAGAATAACAAAATAAAATATGATTACTGGGCATCATTAAGGAACCATTTGAGGCTAATGATAATGATTATAAAGAGTTGCCAGTCAGCATAATTGTGTGCTTTTTTCCAGACGTATACATTTGTGCGGCTGCAGGCAGAGGGCAAGGAGGCTGAGTGTGTATGAAACAGAGCAAAATGATTATAATCATTGGCTATGGAATTTAATCTGAGTAGGGATGGAAGTGAGTAAGGGGCTAAGGAATATTGTCAAGTTATACAATAAGATATGTTTTGCATTTTGAAGGATTGTTGGAGCTGGATTACTAGAGGGAGTGAGCCAGAAAAAGAAGTTGGAGGTGTGATGTTGAAATTATGGATGGAGGTTGCAGTAGTCATTGATCATGACAAGCAGTAGGGTATGATCATGAGGATGTATAGCTGTGGTAGAGTAAAGAAGATCAAATTGCTAAGAGATTTGAATCATGGAAGCATCTTTGTGGACAGGGAAATCGCAAAGAGTTATGATAGGAGTGATGTTGGAGAGAATAATAGTGAATCCAGTGCTAATGTCAAAGAAGAAAGAATAGTGACCCTAAGGGAGAGGTAGATGTCTGCCATAAAGAGACACGATGATAGATTAGTGACATAGAAACATAAGATTTGGATTAGAAAGGATGGAGAGAAAAGTATCTGGAGGCAACAATAATGAGGAAAGAGGAGACAAATTCACCTCTAAAATGGATGGCAGGAGGCAGGTGGGGAAAAACCTATGATTATTTGATAGGATCACATAGGAAACAGACACAGCAGAAATCTGGCTTTAGGTTAGAGAAAAAAGGTGAAGACTGTTCACTGAAAATGGTAGGTATATAAAGGTTTATCTTCATAACTGACATGGAATTTCAGAGAGTCCAGTGAAAAGATTTTAGAAGATGACGAGCAGTGGGAGTCAGAGGTCAGAAAAGGTAATGTATAGAATCTAAAGGAATCAAATTTCTAAGGGAAAAGAAATGGTGTGGGAGAATAGGGCTTCTTATCGTAAGTAACCACACAAAAAGGAATACAGAGCGTAATACAATCATTCCTAAGAAAAATAGTGTTGGCAAAGTTGTGAGTGCTACAGATAGAGAGGAGTAGGGGTTAGCAACGTTCTCCTGCTCATGGAGGTTCAAGTTCTGTAGAGAAAAATTCTTATTACTGGTTACCCCTCTAATGACAGTTGGAACGTGTGGATTTATAAAGACCTGCTTACTGAGGGAAATGACGAGTAGTTTTGTTAAACAAGCATTAATTAAATGTGTGGGAGTGAAAGAAGTTAAAATTTTGAAGGTAGAGCCACATTTTAAAGGAATTTAGATTTCAGCCCATGTATAAAGAGGAATTTTTGGTAGGTCTAGCCTGCAATAATAGAAAGAGACTGTGGTAAGAAAGAAGTGATACTCAGTTCTGCAATTTATTTGCTATGAGGCATTTGGCAATACACTTGTATATTTTCAGCTTTAATTTTCACATCTTAATAAAAAGCAACACTTGTTCATAGAATCAAATGAGATTACATAAAATATACCTATTATTTATTTTGTATTTATTTAGCTTTGCGGAGACATTCTCATATTGATTTTATAATAGTAACTCTTTAAGAAGGTGACTTCTCTAGACCAGACCAAAGAAGAAGAGAACTTATTCTAAGAGAAAACAAAGTAAGACCAATGAGGCAAATGGTGTTTAGGAAGTGAAGTCCCATTAACTAAAACTAAGTGTGGCCATTTGGATCGTTAGTTTATTATAGAAGGCCAAGGTAAATTCAAAGGCTCTACTTTATGGTTTTGAAGACTCAAAGACGAGACATAAGTAAATATAAAGATTACTAGATTATTTGGGACATTTTATTTTTTTATTTTTTAAATTTATTTTTAATTGACAAATAATTATATATATTTATGGAGTATGTTGTGATGGTTTGATGTATGGTATCAATGTAGAATGATTAAATCAGACTAATTAGGAAATATTTCACCTCACATATTTATCAGTTTTTTGGTGAAAATATTTAAAATCTATTCTTTTAGCAATTTTGAAATATACAATGAATTATTATTTATTTGTAGTCACTACTCTGTGCCATAGACAGTAAGGCTTATTCCTCCTCTCTAACTGAAATTTCCCTTTGATCAATATCTCCTATGTCCCCATTTTCTCTCCATTCTCCAGCATGTGGCAATAATCATTCTACTCTCTACTTCTACAAGTTCAGCTTTTTTGCATTCCATATATAGGCTAGATCACGCAGTATTTTTCTTTTTGTGCCTGGCTTAGCACAATCACTTAGCACAATGTGTTGCAGGTGTATCCAAGTTGTGGCAAATGTTAGGATTTCCCCCAATTTTAAGGCTGAATAGTATTCAAAATTCAGTATATGTATACGCCACATTTTCTTTATCCATTCATCTGATGATGAACACATAGGTTGCTTTCGTATCTTGGCTATTGTGAATAATGCTAAGATGAATATTGGAGTGTACATATTTCTATCATATATTGATTTCAATTCCTTTGGGTACACAACCAGAAGATGAATTGCTGGATCATATGGTAATTCTGTCTTTAGTTTTCTGAGAAACCCTATACTGTTTTCTATAATGACTGTATTCATGTACATTCGCAATAACAGTGCACAAGTATTCCCTTTTCTCCATACCTCTACCAACATTTATCTTTTACCTTTTTCATAATAGCCATTCTAACAGATGTGTGGTGGTGATACTGACTATGGTTTTAATTTGCATTTTCCTGCTGATTAGTGATGATAAGCATTTTTCACATACTTGCTGTCATGTGTCTTCTTTTGAGAAGTATCTGTTAGATCCTTTGCCCATTTTTTGATTGCATTGTTTTCTTGATATAAAGTTGTTTGAGTTTTTTTATGTATTTTGGATATTAGGCACTTATTAGATACATGGTTTGCAAATATTTTATCCAGTTTTGTGAATTGTCTCTTCATTCTGCTAAGTGTTGTCTTGGCTATGCAGCAGCTTTCTAGTTTAATGCAATTCCATTTATTTATTTTTGCTTTGATTGTATATGCTTTTGGAGTTGTGTCCAAGAAATCTTTGCCTAGACCAACGTTATGGAGGATTTCCCCTGTATTTTCCTTAAGTGCCTTTAGTTTCAGGTCTTACATTTAAGTCTGTAACTCATTTTGAGTTGATTTTGTAGATGGTGTGAGATAAAGATAAAGTTTTATTTTTCTGCATGTGGATATCCAGTTTTTCCCCACAGCACTGAACAGACTGTCTTTTCTCCATTGTATGTTTTTGGCACTTTTGTTTAAATCAATTGACTACATGTGTGGGTTTATTTTTCAGCTCCCTAGCCTGTTCCATTGGTCAATGTAATGTCTATTTTTATGCCAGTGCTATATTGTTTGGTTATTATAACTTTGTAATAGATTTTGAAGTCAGGCAGTGTGATGCCTCTGACTTTGTTCCTGTTACCTAAGATTCCTTTAGCTATTCAGGGTACTTTGTGATTTCATATACATTTTATATATATTTTTTTATTTCTATGAAAAATGACATTGAAATTATGGTAGGGGTTGCACTGAATCTGTAAATTATTTGGACAGAATAGACATTTTAACAATATTAATTCTTCCAATCCATGAACATGGGACTTCTCCATTTATTTGTGTCAACTGTGATTTATTTAATCGATGTTTTATACTTTTCTATATATGGGTCTTTCACTTTCTTGGTTAAATTTACTCCTAAGTATTTTTTGTGTGTACATTCTTTTGAATGGGATTAATATGTTAATTTTTTCAGATTGTTTATTGTTAGTATAAGAAAATGCTGCTGATTTTTGTATGTTGATTTTGTCCTTTGCAACTTTACTGAATTTGTTTATCAGTTCTTACAGTTTTTTGGTGGAGTCTTTGAAATTTTCTGTGGATAAGATCATGTCATCTGCAGAGACAATTTCACTTATTTGTTTTCTATTTGGATGCCTTTTATTTCTTCTTATTGCCTAGTTTTTCTGGCTAGGACTTCCAGGACTATGTTGAATAGATGTGGCAAGAGTCAGCATCTTTGTCTTGTTCCTGATCTTAGAGAAAATCTTTCAACATTTTACTTTTGAGTATGAGGCTGGTTGTGAACTTTTTATATACGGCCTTTATAGTATTGAGACATGTTTCTTCCATGCTTAATTTTTTGAGACCTTTTATCATAACAAATGTTGAACTTTATCAAATGCTTTCTCAACATCCACTGAAATGATTCTATGTGTTTGTTTTTTATTCTGTTAATATTGTTTAACACATTTATCTATTTGCATAATAAATGCATTTATCTATTTGCATTTATCTATTTGCATAATAAATGTGATAAACCATATCACATTATCCATTATTTCATAGATGCAAGGATAGTGGGACATCCAACTTTATGGACAATAATCCCACTTGATCATGAGGAATGATCCTTTAAATGTGCTGTTGAATTCAGTTTGCTAATATTGTGTTGAAGATTTTTGTATCTATGTACATCAAGGATATTGGCGTGCCATTTTAGTTTCTTGTAGTGTCCTTATCTGGCTTTGATATACGAGTAATGCTGGACTCTTAAAAATAGTTTAAAGGTACTTCTTTTCCTTAAATTTTTGGAAAAGTTTGAGAAGGATTGATATTCTTCTTTAAATGTTTGGTATAATTCTGCTATACATCTATCTTGTTCTGGGCTTTTCTTTGATGTGAGATTTTAAAAAACTTATTGATTCAATCCGTACAGGTTGTTGGTCTGTTCAGATTTTCTATTTCTTCTTGATTTAGTCTTGGTAAGTTGTATGATTTTAGAAATTTATCCATTTCTTCTACGTTAGCCAATTTGTTGGTATTGGGGCATTTTAGTTTAGGAGAGCTGTATAAAATCCAGGTAACGGGGTTCATTAAGAATACATTTTACAAAAGTGGACCACACTGAAGACAGAGATTTGAGAGCCATAGATTTTCAGATAAGTGGAGAGATGAAAAGTTCAGAGCATAATTAGGACGTGGATTGTGAGAGTGAAATTAAGGGAAAAGTCCCATAGGTGTGAATATCGATAAACAAAGAAGTTAATGAGTTTGAGCAGCTACCAGCACTTTGCACAGAGGGTAAGGGTAACTGGGAGGAAACCTGTCAATCAAGCTGCAAAGCTCAGAAGAATTTAGGCTCCAGAGGCCTAAATTTGGCTTATAGTTGTTTTCATCACTCTCTGTATGCATCAACCATCATGTAAAAATTAGAGAGAGGGAGAGAGAGAGAGGGCGGAAGAGAGTGAGAGAGAGATCTCATTAATTTTCAGACACTTCAGAAAGAGAATAGGCCGTCAAGTGACTCAAAGGTAAGTGCAAGACCTTAGTCCAACCCTTCCCTAAATTCCCAACAATTGCTTGAATTTCTTTTAGCATATGCCTCAAAGCTACTGCCCAGCTCATCTTTAACAAGATAGCATAATGTGGAGAAAAGAACAGAGTTTTCCAAACTTGATTTAATGTGTGGCTCTGCTATGCAGCCTTAAATAGTTATTTAATTTCTCTGAGCCTGGTTTGTTGCATTTATAAAATGGAAATAAGTAATTCATAGATCTGCTATGATAACATAGTATTGCATATGTAAAGGATCTATGTGGGTAAACAGAAGCACATATAGGCATATTCGTAACCCACCTCCAAACTACACATCTTATAATTTTGAGAAAAGTTTAAGGAAGTTCTTCCTTACACTAAAGAGCAATTTTCAAGCACTGAAAATTTTACCTTTTGTAACAATCAGGATTAATTTTTGTCCTTCTTGTCTAAGTGAGTGACAGAAGAAAACTGAGAAAGAGGGAGCAGAAGATTGTCTTGACATCAAAGGTGCTAAAGTAAGGACTATTTGGGGCATCTAATATGTGTGAAAGTGTGGTAACCCAATCCCAGATTAAGTCAAGTGCATTTGAAAGGTTTCCCAACTGTGAAAGTTTCTCTAAGTAATTCTCTCAATAGGCTCACCTCAGGAAATTAACACACTCCAGGACCAATTGAAGTTCTTATCAATTAAGCTAATTGACACAGCAGGCTTAAACTATTTCCCAAAGGTGAATATAAAGCATTAGTTCAACAAATGAATACCTCTTAAATCTTTTGAAAGCCTTCCCTAGTCAACTAGTTGAATGCAAAAGCTATATACATACATATAGATAAGCTTTAATAATACAAAAGTCATCCTTTAATTAAGTGGCCCTGTGTTGGGATCAGATCATTTATATTCAAGGAAACATAATTTTTTGTTTAAAATATTAAGAAAATCAGTGTTCTAGTGAAATTCTTTTCAGCCTTGTAAAAATTGGTTTTATTATTTTTATTACAACCAAAAAGTAATATGAAATAATCATACTATTTTAGCTTTGTATTTGAATTGGAAAACCATTATTATATTTTAAAATGATGTTCTCTTCATTTCCTTATTATTATCTTTTGCCAAACTTAAGGTTCTGCTGATACTAAATTTAAAAAATAAATTAAACAGAATGGAGAATATAAAAGTTATTTTTAAAATTTTAATTATTTTTAAAGTAGAGATAATTACTATAACCTTTGAAGCTATCTTAATGACTTTCCTTTGGTCTCTTTTTGAGAAGTCTATGCTTCCTATAAAATGTATTTTTAATACCTATAAAACATATTTTTACCTCCTATAAAATGGATTTTTATCTCATTTCCCATTTTGCTACTATACTGTCTGCCTGACCTTGGAACATTTATTTAACCTCTCCATATCTCAGTTTTTTTATTAGGAAAATGGACCTAATAATATTGCCTATTTGAGAGAGTTGTTGTGCAAATTAAAAACAGGAAAATGTTGTAAAAGTTTTAGTGTATTTGCTGGTACTAGTGAGCACTCAATAAATGTGAACTATTGTTGGCAAAGCAAGGGTTAAAAGGAGAAAAGGAGGAGACTTCTAAGTTAAAGGAATATTATAAGCCAATAACACAGCAGCAGAGCTTAGCCAGGTATGATAAGGGCAGGATGTTGTTGGGCTAGAATAAATACTAATTTCACAGCAGAATGAAATAAAAGACTGAGAATAATGGCTGTTAATGGCTAATGGGGATTTTGTAAAGCCAAACTGAAAGTCAACATTTTGAGCTTTGTTTAGAGAATGGTAGTGAACTTTTGTTTGTTTTATTGTTCAATTTTAACACTCAAAAGTGAAATGATCAAATAAATCTTTTAAAAAGATTTACCTGGAACGATCAGTAGATGTGAAATTTATATGTATATCTAAAATTTCCTCACTAGAGACCAGTAAAGAAATTATTTTAAGAGTATGGAAATTGGTTGATGGTGTTTATTAGGCAAGATAAGTAGATGCCTTTAAAAGTAATGTATTGTGTTGTTCCTCTAACCTGAATTTTCACTAAGTGGAAATCAAAGTGTAAAGTCAACTAATGACTTACTGAGGTCACACCACTAAGTCTGTTAGCTCTAGGCCTAGAACCTAATATTCATGTTCCCAGGCCCATGCTCTTTTCATAACACCAAACTATCTCAATTCAACAGGTATGTATTGAACATATGCTATGAGGCACTCTGATGTTTGCCTCAGGCCATATAAAGAGAAGACTTGAGTTGTAAAAATAGTATGGCCTATACCATTATGCTTTCAATGTGGAGTATTTGAAGATGTCACAAGAAGTTACTTCACAGATTTGGAAAGAGCTAATTACTTCTAGTGACACCATTTCCAGAAACTTAAGGTGTGCAGCTGTATTACTGCCTGTCAACCAAAACATTTTTCCAAAAAAAAGTACTCAATTTCTGAGCTATGTCAGATTATTAGTTATCGCATTAACTTGGTCATTGAATGGTTAAGTCCTGGCTTGGCCATACTCTCCACTGAACAGAATACAAAAAAAAAAAAAAAAATGAATGAAAATGGACTGTTTCTTTGATGTCAGAAAACAAATTTGACAATCTTTTTTTCTGGATAGCAAACAAAACAAAAGAAAGGCACTAATCTCTTGATTTTGAAATTTTTCTTTGAACTCCTTTGAACATACCATTACAGTTCATATCTCAGCAATCAAAGTGCCTGCCAGAAGGTAGAGCTTTCTGGGGTGGTGTGTGTGTGTGTGTATGCACAGAGGAGGAAGTCATTCTGCCTTTCTATTTGTAATTTCTGTATTTGATTATCTATGTTTGAAATGACTCACAAAGAATAAAAGTAACCACACTACTCAAAGTAGCTGTTCCCCAAACTGTTCGTTACCCTTACACTAAGAGATAAGAAGCTTGATCCAAAATGTAATATAATGCATTGCTATCTTCATCAATAAAATCTTGCTACCAAGAACCTGTCAGATATGTGAAACAGAATGCTTAGTGCTGTTGTGAATTGTGATTAAGCTCTTTATATTGACACAAACCCCATAACAAGGAGTTTATTGTTAGCACAATTTGTGGATCGCAGTTGAAAGAGCACTGATATAGAAAAATATTTCCAGTGGCAATTTAACTTTTTATTGTATTGAAAAAACACTGTGAGATCAACTCTCTTCACAAATTTTTAAGTGTACAGTACAGGGTTGTTGTCTATAAGCACAATGTTGTCTCTAGAACTTTTTCATCTTTCATAACTGGAACTCTATGTCTATTGAACAGCAACTCACCATTTTCCCCTCTCACTAGCTCCTGGAAACCACCATTCTACTTTGTGTTTCTATGTTTGACTAGGTGAGATACCTTGTGTAAATGGAATCAAGCAGTATTTGTCCTTCTGTGATTGGCTTATTTCAATTAGCATGATGTCCTCAAGGTTCATCTATACTGTATGACAATCTAAATGTCCATTGATGGAAGAATGGTGTATTAGTCCATTCTCACATTGCTGTAAAGAACTACCTGAGACTGGGTAATTTATTAAAAAAAAAAAAGGGGGGGCTCACAGTTTTGCAGGATGTACAGGAAGCATGGCTGGGGAGGTCTCAGGAAACTTGTAGTTACGGTGAAGGTAAAGTGGAAAGAGTTAGATCTCACAGGACTGGAGCAGGAAGAAGAGAGAAAAAGGGGAGGTGCTACCCACTTTCAAGCAACCAGATATCATGAAAACTCATTCACTATCATGAGAACAGCAAGAGGGAAATTCACCCCCATAATCCAGTCACCCCCTACTAGACCCCTGCTCCAACACTGGGGATTACAATTCGACATGAGACTTGGGCAGAGACCTATAGTCAAACCATATCAAACGTGTAAAGAAAATGTGGTATAAACATACAATGAAATAGCATTCAGCCACAAAAATAAGAAAATCCTGTCACATGTGACAATTTAAATTAAAACTTCCAATGACTGCTGTAATTATTGTTTTAATTTAACATAGGTTAACTCGGTATTCATATAAAAGAAACTGCCATGGCCCATTGACATTGGCCTTATAAGCAATTTAATGAAAGCAGTTCTTATGCTAATAGTTACAGAATGATTTCCATTTCTAACAGTTTGCTCTAGATCTACCTCAAAAAACCTTCACAATGATCTTGAGCTCTGCAGATTTTCACATCTCTTATATTAGCTTTTTAAAAAGTCTCTATTTTGAGTTTTATACAAATACAGTTTATACAAATTCAGTTTGTACAGTTTATACAAATTCACAGGAAGTTGAAAAATTGTACAGTTAAGCTCCATGTACATATCACCCAATTTCTCCAAGTGATTATATCTTACATAACCATAATATAATATCAAAACAAAAAATTGGCAGTGGTTCAATGAGTGTGTATATGTCTACACCATTTTACTGCATATGTGGATTTGTGGAAACATCACTACAATGAAGATAGAGGTATTCCATTACCTCAAAGACTTTTCCTTCAGAGTCACATCTACCTTCCCCACTCTCCATTCCTAATCCCAAGTAATCAACTAGTTATCCATCTCTAAAATTTTTTCATTAAAAAATGCTATATAAATGGAATCTTACAACATGTAATATTTTGATATTAGCTTTTTAAAACTGTTTTCTCAGGGTTCATCCAAGTTGTTGCACGTATCAGTAGTTCCTCTTCATTGCTGAGTAGTATTCTATGGTATGGATGTAACACAATTTATTTAACCGTTCAACTGTTGAAAGATATTTTGGTTGTTTCTAGTTTGAGGTAAATACAAATAAAGCTTCAATGAACATTTTTGTACAGATTTTTGTATGGAGTTATTTCTCTGGGAAAAATGCCTAGGGGAACTATTGCTGAGTCATATGGTAAATGTGTGTTTACTTTGTAAAGAAATGGCCAAACTATTTTCCAGGATGGCTGAACCATTTTATATTTCCACAGAAATGTGTAAGGTATACAGTTTCTCCACATCTTCACCAGCTTTTGGTATTAACACTCTTTTACTTTAGCTGTTTTACTAAGTGTATAGTGAGATCTCATCGTGGCCTTAAGTTACATTTCCTTAATAGCTAGTGATGTTGATCATCTTTTCATGTGCTCATTTGCCATCTATATATTCTTTTTGGTGAAATCTTCATGTATTGTGCTTGGATTATTTTTATTGTTGACTCTTGAGAGTTTTCATACATTCTAGATGTAAGTTGTTTGTCAGAAATGTGGTTTGCAAATACTTTTTCCCAGTCTGTAGGTTTGTCTTTTCATCCACTTGGCAGTTTATTTTCTTTCATTTTATTATCAGTAGATGCAGAAAGAGACAGGTCCTTTTATAGAACTATAGTATTTAATTTTGTTGAAGTCCATTTGTTGATTTTTTTGCTTTTATGAATTGTACTTTTGGTATCATGTTAATAAACTCTTTACCGAGTCCTAAAGTCACAAACATTTTCTCCTAAAAGTTTTATAGTTTTATATTTTACAATTGAATTTATAAAATACTTTGTTAACTTCTGTGTAAGGTATGAGGTTTAAGTCAAAGTATATATTTTTCCCTATGGAGATACAATTGCTCTATCACTATTTGCTAAAAAGATGATCCTTTCTCTATTTATTGCTCTTTAATTTTTTTCAAAATGAATTGGCTATACTTATGTGGGGCTATTTCTGGTTTCTGTATTATCTATTCTGTTCCATTGATCTGTACATTTATTCTTCTACCAATATGATGCGGTACAGATTACTGTTGCTATATATAAGACTTGGAATTTTGTTTTTAACTTTTATTTTAGGCTCAGGGTACATGTGCAAGTTTGTTATATAGGTTAACTGCATGTCATAGGGGTTTGGTGTACAGATTATTTCATCACCCAGGTAACAAGCATAGTTCCCGATAGGTATTTTTTCTGATCATTGATCTCCTCCCTCTCTCTACCCTCTAGTAGGCCCCAGTGTCTTTTTTTCTCCTCTTTGTATCCATGCGTTCTCATCATTTAACTCTCACTTGTAAGTGAGAACATGTTGTATTTGGTTTTCTGTTCCTGTGTTAATTTGCTTAGAATAATAACCCCCAGCTCCATCCATGTTGCTGCAGAGGACATGATCTTGTTCCTTTTTATGGCTGTGCAGTATTCCATAGTGAATATGTGCCACACTTTCTTCATCCAGCCTACCACTGATGGGCATTTAGGATAATTTCCATATCTTTGCCATTGTGAGTAGTGCTGCAGCAAAAATACGTGTACATGTATCTTTATGGCAGAATGATTTCTATTCCTTTGGGTATATACCCAATAATGGCTTTGGGGGGTTGAATGGTAATTCTGTTTTCATTGAGAAATTGCCACACCAATTTCCACAGTGGCTGAGCTAATTTACATTCCCATTAGCATTGTATCAGCATTCCCTTTTCTCTGCAACCTGGTCTGTATGTTATTTTTTGACTTTTTAATAATAGCCATTCTGACTGGTGTGAGACAGTATCTCATTGTGGTTTGGATATACATTTCTCTAGTGATTAGTTTATGTTGAGTACTTCTTTCACATGCTTGTTGGTCACATGTATGTCTTCTTTTGAAATGTGTCTGCTCATGTCCTTTGCCCACTTTTTGATAGGGTTGTGTGTTTTTTGCTTGTAAATTTGTTTAAGTTTCATATAGATTCTGGTTATTAGACCTTTGTCAGATGCATAGTTTGTAAATATTGTCTCCCATTCTGTACATTGTCTGTTTACTCTGTTGATAATTTCTTTTGCTGTTCAGAAGCCTTTAGATTTATTAGCTCTCATTTGTCAATTTTTGTTTTCATTGCAATTGTTTTTGGTATCTTCATCATGAAATCTTTGCAGATCTTATGTACAGAATGGCATTTCCTAGGTTATCTTCTGGAGTTTTTATAGTTTTATGTTTTACGTTTAACCCTTCAATCCATCTTGAGTTGGTTTTGTATATGGTATAAGGAAGGGGTCCAGTTTAAATCATCTGCATATGGTTAGCCAGTTATTCCAGCACCATTTATTGAATAGAATCTTTTAGCCACTGCTTGTTTTCATCAGTTTTGTTGAAGATCAAATAATTGTAGGTGTGAAGCATCATTTCTGGGCTCTCTATACTGTTTCATTGGTCTGTGTGTCTTTTTTTGTACCAGTAACCACTGTTTTCATTGCTGTAGCCTTGTAGCATAGTTTGAAGTTGGGTAGTGTGATGTCTCCAGCTTTCTTCCATTTGCTTAGCATTGACTTGGCTATTCAGGTTTTTTTTTTTTTGTTCCATATGAATTTTAAAATAGTTTTCTCTAATTCTATGAAGAATGTCATTGGTAGTTTAAAAGAAATAGCATCGAATCTATAAATTGCTTTGGGCAATATGTCCATTTTGGCAATATTAATTCTTTCTATCCATTATCATGGAACGTTTTCCCATTTGTTCGTCATTTCTGATTTCTGTAAGCAGTGTTTTATAATTCTCACTGTAGAGATTTTTCACCTCCCTGGTTAGCTATATACCTGGGTATTTTTTGTGGCAATTGTTGTATGTCTGATTTGGCTCTCAACTTGGATGTTGTTGGTATATAGGAATGCTACTAAGTTTTGTACATTGATTCTGTATTCTGAAATTTTGCTGAGGTTGTTAATCAGATCAAGGAGCTTTTGGGTGGGCAGAGACTAAGGCTCCTACCCAGTTCATTCTATGAGGTCAGCATCAACCTGATGCCAAAACCTAGCAAAGACACAACAACAACAAAAAGAAAATTCAGGCCAATATCCATGATGAATATAGATGCAAAAATCCTTGATGAAATATTAGCAAACTGAATCTAGCAGAACATCACAACACTAATCCACCATGATCGTGCAGGTTTTATCCCTGGGATGCAAGTTTGGTTCAACATATGCCAATCAATAAATATGATTCATTACATAAACAGAACTACCAAACAAAAACCATATGATTATCTCAATAGATGCAGAAAAGGCTTTTGATCAAATTCAACATCGCTTCATGTTAAAAATACTCAATAAACTAGGCACTGAAGACACATACTTCAAAACAGTAAGAGCTATCTATTGCAAACTCACAGTGAACAGCATACTGAATGGGCAAAATCTGGACACATTCCCCTTGAAATCTAGAAGGAGACAAGGATGCCCTCCTTCACCACCCCCATTCAGAATAGTACTGGAAGTCCTGGCCAGAGCAATCAGGCAGAAGAAAGAAAGAAAATGCATCCAAATAGAAAGAGAAAATGTCAAACTATCTGTGTTTGCAGATGACACGATTCTGAGACTTGGAATTTTGTAGACTGATTTCGCCCATTTTATTCTTCTATTTAAAAATTGCTTTAGCTATTTTAGACCCTTTGTCTTTTCATGTAAACTTTTTAATAACATTTCTATATCTACACAAAATATTGCTGGAATTTTTATAACAATTACATTAATATACAGGAAAATTACATCTTTCCTATGTGGAGTCTTCCAATCCATGGACATGGCATTTTTCTTGATTTATTAAGAATTTCTTTAATGTCTTCTTCAGTGTTGTGCAGTTTAACAAACAAGTCACGTATATTTTGTTAGATTTACATGTAAGTATTTCATTTTTTGAGTGATTATAAATGACATTGCATTTCTAATTTAGATGTGTATGTGTTTGTTCATTGAGCTTACACAGAAATACAATTGTGTTTTTTATGTTAAACTTGTATCCTGTGACTTTATTGTACTCACTTTATGAATTTTTCATAGTTTCCTTGGGATTTTCTATGTAAATTTATGTCATCTGTAAATAGAGACTATTTTATTTCTTCCTTTCTGATCTATATCCCATTTATTTCCTTTTTGTGTGTTAATTTGTTGTCTAGAATTTCTGGTACCACATTGGGTAAGAATGTTATAGGCAGACACCTGTCTAGTTCCCAATCTTAGGAGAAAAGGCATTCGGTCTCTCATTAATAGGTATGAGGTTAGCTGAAGGTTTTTTTGTAGATGTTATTCAACAAGCTGAATAAATTCCACATTATTCTGGGAGATTATACCATAAAAGATGTTGAATTTTGTCAAATAACTTTTTTGCATCAATGTATATGATCATTTTATTCTGATTTTTCTTCTTAACCTATTATATAATGGATTATATTGATTGATTTTAAAATCAGTCTTGCATCTCTGAAATAAAGCTCATTTGGCCATGGTTCATAATTTTCTAACATATTGCAGAATTCTATTTTCTAACATTTTATGAAGAATTTCTATGTCCATATTCATGAAGGATATTAGTCTGTAATTTTCTTTTTCATATTGCCTTTCCCTGGTTTGATATCTAAGTAATATCAACTTCATCAAATGTGTTGGGAAAAGTTTTCTTCTTTGTTTTCTGAAAGAGATTTATATTAATTATTCTTTAACCTTTGGTGGAATTCTTCAGTGAAACCATCTGGTCCTGGAAACCTTCTTTTTTTAAAAGTCTTAAAGTTATAAATTCAATATCCCTTCCTTTTAGGACTCCAATGACACAGAAGTTGAATCTTTTGCTACAATTCCTCACATCCCTGAACTTTATTACGTTCAATTTCTCGTTATTGTCCATATTGGGTAATTTCTATTGTTCTATATTCAAATTCACAAATTCCTTTCTTTTTTATTTTCATTCTTCTTTTGAGCCCATCTAGAGGGTTTTCAATTTAGTTACTACACTTTTAAATTTTGAGTTTCCATTTTGTTCTTTATGTCTTCTCCCCTTGCTTTCCATATTTTGTTTCAAACGAGTTCACATTTGCTCATTGAAGCATTTTTATGATCACTGCTTTTAAAGTCCTTGCCAGATATTTTTAACATCTGCATCATCTAGCTAATGGCATTTGTGGATTGTTTTTTCTCCTTGAAGTTAAGATTTTTCAGGTTCTTGGTATGGGAAGTGATTTTTAATAGAAATTTATATGTTTTTGGTATTATATTATGAGGCTATGTATTTTATTTAAATCTATTTTAACAGGCCTCGTCTGCCACCATTCCCATGGGAGTAACAGTACTGCCAGTGACAGTGGAAATCCAGGTTACTCACTCACTATCTGTTTACGCCCAAGGAGTTTCTTTCTTTTTTTTTCTTTTTTTTTTTGAGACAGAGTCTCACTCTGTTGCTCAGGCTGGAGTGCAGTGGCGCGATCTCGGCTCTGCCTCCCGGGTTCACACCATTCTTCTGCCTCAGCCTCCTGAGTAGCTGGGACTACAGGCACCCGCCACCACACCTGGCTAATTTTTTGTATTTTTAGTAGAGATGGGGTTTCACCGTGTTAGCCAGGATGGTCTTGATCTCCTGACCTCATGATCCACCCACCTCGGCCTCCCAAAGTGCTGGGATTACAGGCGTGAGCCACTGCGCCAGGCCCAAGGAGTTTCTTACTACTGCTTGGCAGAGATGATAGTTGAAGCTCTCCAGTAGACATCTGCTGACACGATCATGACTGGGAAAGCAAGGGTGTCTGGTTTCTGCTACTCTTAGCCATGTGGCCTCTACTGACATGTTAGGGGTAGATGTCTGAAAGGGTGAGAGGCTGTTCTAGTTAATTATTAGTGGTGATAAAAGTTCTGACTCTCCATTATATCTCCTCTGATACTACCCTAGGAGGAGGAGGTGGGTACTTCTTTATCCTCAATGGGAGTGGAAGTCCAGACTCTCCCATGTGGTCTCCACTGATACTCCAGGAGACCAGGGAAGGGCTTCTTTACTGCCCTGTTGGGATAAAGCTCTGGGCTTTCCATTTAGCTTTCTCTGACACCACACTGGCCAGGTGGAAGTGGGATAAAGAGGTGCCTCATTTCACTATAGATAGAGTGGACATGTAGATTCCAGATTCAGCCATTGTCAGTGGGGGGTGGGAGTGGGGTCATGGTTTTTTCTGTGATATATTGCTTTCATAGGGTGACTATTGTGTAAAAATTTTCTGTATTGTTAGGCTGCCCCTTTCCTGGTCCTTAGGTTAGAGAGAGTGAGCTTTTCTTGGGGTTTATTTTGTTTGTGTTTGTTGTTGTTTCTGGGTTGCTGGCTTCTGCAGAATCAAATCTGGCATAGCAAAAGCAAAACCCAGGGAAGGCACTACTATGTCATTCCTAATTCCAAGATCCCTAGAGTATCTTCCTTCTCTCCATATTTCACAGCCCTCTTAAGTCTGTAATATGTATAAAGTCCAGGGATTTTAGCTGTACTTAGTGAGAAAGGCAGGAAAGAAGATATCTATTCCAAGTTTTTATAATTAGAAATCTCTATGTTAGCTTTCTAAACAAGTTTTTACATTGTGACATAGGATAACACCCCTAAAAATTATTTTTTAATATTCTTATTTTATTGCAAAAGATCTGATTTCATAGTTGTTTCATAAAACCATCATATTTTATTATGCATTGAAATTATTTTCTTTCAGATGTTAGAAATCATTATTAGGTGCTTAGACTATTTCCTAGTCTATATATTTATCAGAGGGACTCCAATTGAGATTAATTAAGTAGAGTTTTCTAATTCTAAGACTGCCTTATTATAAAGAACAACAAATATGTCTCTAGAAGACAAAATTGATAGTTTATGAACTAAAAGCTATACATCATAGACTAGATTTATTTGTCTTAATCTTCAAGTACTTAAGTGTTTTTTTAAAAATAAGGACAGTCAGTTGGGTTATCTAGAAGTAGACTATATGCAAGTGCCTTCTAAAAATATGTTTACATTATATATATAGCATCTTAACCTAGGCCATTTTTATGAATTCTCCTGATAATTGGCTTTATAGAATCTTACTGGAGATATATTTTCTTTTCTCAGCACTTCTGAGACTATCTAAAATTGTTTCAAGCACTGTTGTGATGATGCAATATTAAGAAATATAATTAACAAAATATAGATTACTTGCATATATTAAACATTAAATGTGTAGAGTGCATATAAATATTTAGGATTCCTGAGTGACCTTAGTCTTCAAAGTGCACTCACCTCATCTGCAACCATTGACATTTATTCCTTTTTCTAGGCCAGAAGAGGGAAATTGGTGGGCACATGTGTTGTTTTTTTCAGTTTCTTAGCTCTACCCAGAGTCTATGGATATGCAAAGTCTCAGAAACAGCTGGAAAAACCATCTCAGCTCTACCTGTGGTTTGAAAACTATTTATCCCTTAGGATGGATCTTCATCCTTCTGTGCATTACTTCAGCTGTGATCACAACAGCCCACTCCCACCCTCACCTTCCCGAGAGGTAGGAGTTACTATGTAGTGAAGCCACACACACTGCCAGACTTCTCCAGGTCCTTGACAGGGAGGAGCACGCATTTACTTTATTGGGGGTTGGTATTGGTTTTCTTCTTCTGGGATGGCCAAAAAAATCACTTTCCATTTTGATCCATCTTTTCTCCATGTATAGTTGTCTAAATACCTACCACTTCACCTACTCTGTTCACAATATTTTTCATCCATTCTTATCATCATATTCAGTTGTATTACATATTTTATATGTAAATGAATTAAACAAGTACTATAAAGTCCTTAGCACAATCACTGGTAGATAGAAAGTACTTAGTAAAGATCACATATCATTATAATTTTTCTAAATTATTATTTTATAATAATACGTAATAAAAATGTTCCATATTAGTTAAAGATATAACTATAATTTATTAACTATGAAATAAAACAGTATTTTAATAAAACAGAAGCTAAATAACAGTGGCAGGAAAAATGCATTTAGCCCTAAGACCCCATGTTTAATTTCTCCTGCAGTCACAATATTTTAATTGAGTGCTTATTTATAAATCTTTTTATAATCATCTCCTTTCTCTCATTAATAAATATGTATGCATGATTATTAGACTATGAAGATACAGCTGTGAGGACAGTTGGACATTTATAAGTCTGATTCCCTGTCTACCTCCTCCACTGCTTTCTGAAAAGAGACCAAGTGTGGTTCATTGTGTTCTCCAGGGCCAAGTGAGTGTGCAGAGTTCACCTAACATGTGTTGACTTTTCCCCCAAACCAGTGACCCAGTGGCATGGAAGTTGAACTGTGTTCTCTTTGCCTGAGAACATGTGGAAATAGTGTGATAGCAGCACTCTGCCAAGGGAGGGATCACTGAAGGTGAACCAAAGAATCTTTATGAATGGAACTGTTTATTTAACTGAAACAAAACTGAAGTATTGGACTCCAGCTATACTACGCAAACACCAATTTTTCCCTTCTTTGTGAATAATAACAGACAATACTAAAATACAAGAGCTTTATATAATAAAAAGTAAATGTCACATGTAAATAGTTTCACTGATAGAGTCACAAGCAAAAGAAGACAGAACTGTTAAACATTACAATGTACTTTCATAACCAAGAAGTGAGCACACTTGATCTAATAGATACGATTCCATAAACATTGCCTTAATCAACTATGGATTTCAGTGTTTGTCTTGCCTGTGGTCAAGACATTGAAAATATGCTTATCATTTTGACTTCGAATATTCATAAAAATTCGATGCCCAATCATTTTTTGATGTTTTAATTTAGATAAAATTATGATACTATAACAATATCTGAAGAACAACTCCAAATTGGGTTAAAAGTGTGAATAAAGAGGATTATAATGTCAATGTTACTCTAAATCCATAATTACACATTTCATTGAATTCGCCATTTCTTATATATTTCTGTGTCTTCTCTCTCCACAAGATTTTACCTATAAGTTCATAGTTGACAGAGGAACAACACAATCATATCTAATTTCTCCATTAGTTAACCAACAAAAAAGTGAAGATTAAGTGTCCTGTACTATATTACATATTGAAGGTACAAATTATAAAAGAACTCAAGATGCTACGATCCTATTTTCAAATAGCTTCCAATCTTATTAGGGTAAACAAAGCATAGAGGAGTACAAAATTTACTGGGACAATGTGTAATCAAATGCCAGACCTTGGGGAACCATGTGAATTTGTGACCATTCCATAAAAGAAAATCATAGCATAATGTATGTAGCTATGACACAGCTCTTGATGACCCTTTATGGTGCTACACATTTGATGTCTTTATCATTCCTAAATTCACCCAATCTCTTTTCCGTATTTTATCATCTGTGAGATCCTCTTGCCCTAGGGCCCCATTACCTTCTGCTAAAGATGAAGAAGCATAAAAGAGAAGAGCAGAAGACCCTCAAGATCAGGATATGTGTTTGGACAGTGACCTATTAAAAACATGCCCTGTACTTATTGTGTGTCAGGCCCTGCACAAGGCATGTTACTTATATTATCTCATTAAATCCTTAACATTGCCATGTGAGATAGAGTGCTATTATTATGATCTTTTAATAGATGAGTGAACTGGAGTTAATAAAGTTGTTATAATTTGTTTCAGGTCACACACAGTGGATACCTAAGATGTTGTGACACTTGGGCCTATGCTCAGATTCTTCACAGAAAAAGCCCCACTGAAATTGCTAAGGTTGGGGTAGAGGAGAAAATTGAAACTAAAAGGGAAAATCTAGAGGCCTGTAGTGCAAATGTCTCAATACGCAAAAAGCCAGAGGTGATTTGGGTTCCAATTTCTGGCAGAGAAACTCATTTTATAAATGAAAGTTATTTCCTCCAGAAAATGTAAAGCATGTTGTCATAATAACCCATTGTGGGTTGTAGATCACCAGCATCAACTAATGCAAACTAGAGAACAAAATCAAGAAATGTATCTTTCCTTTCTAAAACTTTGTTTTCCTTTTCCATGTAGTCCTTTTATCCATAATGTTAATTCTTTGCTATGGGTTATGGTTAGCAAATCAGTATAGATCTATATGTTACAGTTCTGGGAACACTACTTTTGATTGAGGAGTAAGGTAGAGAAAATTGGTACATTGATTTTAAACTTATAACAACTTGGTGTTTTCTAAATTTTATTGATGTACAATTGGTATTTGGATTCCTTAATAGATTTGTTGACTACATGGATCTTTAGAAATACTAAATCAATTAATAATTTCGTGGTGGTGCACAGCTTTGGAAATGCAGGAGAAGCTCCACCTGTTTTAGTGACAGATAATCCAGGCTGCTGCTACAGATTAAAACCATCTGGCCAATAAGGGAGGGACACTTTTTCAACCTCAGTTTTTCTGGACTGCTAGGTAGACTAATAAGGAAGAAAAGAGAGAAGGTTCAAATAAACACAATTAGAAATGATAAGGAAGATATCACCACTGACCCCCCCGCCAAGAAATACAAACAGCTATCAGATAATACTATAAATACCTCTATGCACATAAGCTAGAAAATTATCAGAGAATATTATAAACACTTCTATACACATAAACTAGAAAATCTAAATGAATAAATTCCTGGACACATACATCCTCCCAAGACTAAACCAGGAAGAAATTACATCCCTGAATAGACCAATAATGAGTTCTGAAATTGAAGCAGTAATAAAGAGCCTACCAACTAAAAAAAAGCCTAGGACCAGACAGATTCACAGCTGATTCTACCAGAGGTACAAAGAAGAGCTGGTACCATTCCAACTGAAACTATTCCAAAAAATTGAAAAGGTGGGGATCCTCTCTAGCTCATTCTATGAGGCCAGCATCATTCTGATACCAAAACCTGGCAGAGATACAACAAATAAAGAAAACTACAGGCCAATATCCTTGATGAACATCGCTGCAAAAATCAGCAAAATACTGGCAAACTGAATTCAGCAGCACATCAAAAAGCTTATTCACTTCGATCAAGTAGGCTTCATCCCAGGGATGCAAGGTTGGTTCAACATATGCAAATCAATAGAAGTGATTCATCACGTAGACAGAACTAAAGACAGAAACCACATGATTATCTCAATAGATGCAGAAAAGGCCTTCAATAAAATTCAACGTCCCTTAAAATTCTCAATAAATTAAGTATTGAAGGAACACACTTCAAAACAATAAGAGCCATATACAACAAACACACAGCCAGTATCGTACTGAATGGGAAAAAAGCTGTAAGCATTCCACTTGAAAATGAGCACAAGACAAGGATGCTCTCTCTCACCACTCCTATTCAACATAGTATTGGAATCTCTGGCCAGGGCAATGAGGCAAGCAAAAGAAATGAAGCGTATTCAGATAGGAAGAGAGGAAGTCAAACTATCTTTGCTTGCAGATGACGTGCTCCTATATTTAGAAAATCCCAATGTCTCAGCCCAAAAGTTTCTCAAGCTGATAAGCAACTTCAGCAAAGTCTCAGTATGCAAAATCAATGTGCATAAATCACAAGCATTCCTATACACCAACAACAGACAAGCAGAGACCTAATCATGAATGAACTCCAATTCACAACTAAGGAGCTTCTGCACAGCAAAAGAACTATCAACAGAGTAAAAAGACTACCTACAGAAAAGGAGAAAACTTTTGCCATCTATCCCTCTAACAAAGGTATAATATGTAGCATCTACAAGGAACTTAAACAAATTTAAAGGAAACAACAACCACATTAAAAAGTGGGCAAAGGACATGACCAAACCGTCCTCAAAAGAAGACATACATGCAGCCAACAAACAAACATATGAAAAAAAGCTCAAACTCACTGATCATTACAGAAATGCAAATCACAACCACAATGAGATATCATCTCATGCCAGTCAGAACTGTTATTAAAAAGTCAAAAAATAGACCAGCAATCCTGAGAGGACCCACAGACCCTCTGAAGGAAGCAGACTGCTCCTGCAGTACACAGGAGACCCCCCTCCATCTCCTGCAAAACTCTGAGTGCCTCAACTGTGGAAGTGGGAAAGGGTGACCCTCCTCTCCCAAATACACACCCTAATTGGAGAAGCTGAAGGCCTGTTTGCAGGAGAAGTTTCCAACTTTACCTGGAGCTGAGTCAATTTGGAAAGCTGAGTGAAATACAGGGGTAGAGGTAGAAACAGAAAGGCCCTGGGAGCTTTTTGGGTTCCCTAGCAGGCCATTCCTGCCTGGCACCACAAGGATCCATCCGGAGAGGAGCAGGGGGTAAAACTAAACATGGAGAAACAAATATGTAGCTGAACTTGTTAACAATTTGAACGGGGTGATAAGTCTCCTGGTGAGAACTCGGTGGGAGGGTGCTAATCTGGTGTGCAGACTTCACAGGCAGAGAAAGTACTAAGTGCTTTTCTTTCACAGATAGGAGGTGGATAGTCTGGGGCAGGTTTTCAAACCCATATTGCTCTCCACCTGGAAATGGTCTGAGAGCTGTTGGGGGAGGCACGGTGGGAATGAGACTGGCCCTTTGGTTTGCATGGGAGCTGGGTGAGGCCTGTGACTGCTGGCTCTGCCCCATTTTCCTGACAACCTGCCTGACTCAGCAGAGGCAGCCATAATCCTCCTAGGTACACAACTCCAGTGACCTGGGAATCTCACCCCCATCCCCCACAGCAGCCACAGCCAGACCTGCCCAAGGAGAGTCTGAGCTCAGACACACCTAGCCCTGCCTCATTGATAGTCTTTCCCTACCCACCCTGGTAGCAGAAGACAAAGGGTATATAATCTTGGGAGTTCTAGGGCCCTGCCAACCACCAATTCCTCCTTCTAATACCACAGCTGATGCTCTTTGGAAAGCGCCACCTCCTGGCAGGAGGGCAACGAGCACAAAAAGAACATTAGACCACAAAACCAGCACAAACAGAACATTAAACCACTAAAGCTAAGAACCCTGAAAGAGTCCATTGCACCCCTCATCACCTCCACTGGAACAGGCAATGAGATTTATAGACAGTTCACATCACAAGACTCTGTGCAGACAACCCCCAGTACCAGCCTGGAGCCTGGTACGATCGCTGGACTGCTGGACCGCTAGACCCAGAAGACAGACAACAATTACTGCAGTGTGGCTCACAGGAAGCCACATCCATAGGAAAAGGGGGAGAGTACTACATCAAGGGAACACCCCGTGGGACAAAAGAATATGAACAACAGCCTTCAGCACTAGACCTTCCCTCTGACAGAGCGTACCCAAATGAGAAGGAACAAGAAAACCAACCCTGGTAATATGACAAAACAAGACTTATCATCACCCACCCAAAATTACACTATTACACTAGTTCTCCAGCAATGGATCCAAACCAAGAAGAAATCCCTGATTTACCTGAAAAAGAATTCTGGAGGTTAGTTATTAAGCTAAATAGGAAGGGACCAGAGAAAGGCGAAGCCTTTTTGTTTCAGGAAACAAAGATTTCCTTGTTCAAGGAAATCTAAACTATTATAAAAAAGTGAAGGGAGAAATATTCAAGGTAATAGATAGCTTAAAGAAAAAAACAATCAAAAATTCAGGAAACTTTGGACACACTCTTAGAAATGCAAAATGCTCTGGAAAGTCTCAGCAATAGAATTGAGTAAGAAGAAAGAAATTCAGAGCTCGAAGACAAGGTCTTCGAATTAACTCAATCCAACAAAGACAAAGAAAAAAGAATAAGGAAATATGAACAAAGCCTCCAAGAAGTCTGGGATTATGGTAAATAAACAAACCTAAGAATGATTGGCATTCCTGAGGAAGAAGAGAATTCTAAAAGCTTGGAAAATATATTTGGGGGAATAATCGAGGAAAACTTCCCCAGCCTTGCTAGAGACCTAGACATCCAAACACAAGAAGCACAGAGAACACCTGGGAAATTCACCACAAAAAGATTTGCACCTGGCTTATTGTCATTAGGCTATCCAAAGTTAAGACAAAGGAAAGAATCTTAAGAGCTGTAAGACACAAGCACCAGGTAACCTATAAAGGAAAATCTATCAGATTAACAGCAGATTTCTCAGCAGAAAACCTACAAGCTAGAAGGGACTGGTGCCCTATCTTCAGCTTCCTCAAACAAAACAATTATCAAGAATTTTGTATCCAGAGAAACTAAGCATCATATATGAAGGAAAGAGACAATCTTTTTCAGACAAACAAATGCTGAAAGAATTCACTATTATCAAGCCACCAAAACAAAAACTGCTAAAAGGAGCTCCAAATCTTAAAAAAAAATGTGGAAACACATCAAAACAGAACCTCTTTAAAGCATAAATCACACAGGACCTATAAAACTAAAATACAAATGAAAAACCAAAAACAAAAAAACCAAAGTACACAGGCAACAAAGAGGATGATGAATGCAATGATACCTCACATTTTAATACTAACACTGGATGTAAATGGCCTAAATGCTCCCCTTAAAAGATACAGAACCACGGAATGGATAAGAACTCACCAACCATCTGCTGCCCTCAGGAGACTCATCTACCACATAAGGACTCACATAAACATAAAGTAATGGGGTGGAAAAAGGCATTTCGTGCAAATGGACACCACAAGTGAGTAGGGATAGCTATTCGTACATCAGACAAAACAAACTTTAAAGCAACAGCAGTTAAAAGAAACAAAGAGGGACATTATACAATGGTAAAAGGCCTTGTCCAACAGGAAAATAACACAATTCTAAACATGTATTTACCTAACACTGGTGCTCCCAAATTTATAATGAAATTACTAATGGACCTAAGAAATGAGACAGACAGCAACACAATAATAGTGGGGGACTTCAATACTCCACTGACAGCACAAGACAGGTCATCAAGATAGAAAGTCAACAAAGAAACAATGGATTTAAACTACACCTTGGAACAAATGGACTTAGATATATACAGAACATTTCATCCAACAACCGCAGAATACACATTCTATTCAACAGCCCATGGAACTTTCTCCAAGATAGACCATGTGATAGGCCATAAAATGAGCCTCAATAAATTTAAGAAAATTGAAATTATATCAAGCACTCTCTCAGACTACAGTGGAATAGAACTGGAAATCAACTCCAAAAGGAACCTCCAAAACCATGCAAATACAGGAAAATTAAATAACCTGTTCCTTAATGAGCATTGGGTCAAAACTGAAATCAAGATGGAAATTAAAAAATTATTTGAAGTGAATGACAATAATGATACAACCTATCAAAATCTCTGGGATACAGCAAAGGTGATGCTAAAAGAAAGTTCATTGCCTTAAATGCCTACATCAAACAGGCTGAAAGAGCACAAACTGACACTCTAAGGTCACACCCCAAGGAACTAGAGAAATAAGAACAAACCAAACCCAAATCCAGCAGAATAAGGGAAATAACCAAGGTCAGAACAGAACTAAATAAAATTGAAACACACACACACACACAAAATACAAAAGATAAATGAAACAAAAAGCTGATTCTTTGAAAAGATAAATAAAATTGATAGATCACTGGCAAGATTAACCAAGAAAAGAAGACAGAAAATCCAAATAACCACACTAGAAAATGAAACAGGAGATATTACAACTGACACCACTGAAATACAAAAAATCGTTCAAGGCTACTGTGAACACCTTTATGCACAAAAACTAGAAAGCCTAGAAGAGATAGATAAATTCCTGGAAAAATAAAAGCCTCCTAGCTTAAATCAGGAAGATATGCTGACAATATGATTGTTTACATTGAAAACCCTAAGGACTCCTCCAGGAAGCTCCTAGAACTGATAAAAGAATTCACCAAACTTTCCAGATACAAAGTCAATGTACACAAATCAGTAGCTCTTCTATACACCAACAGTGACCAAGCAGAGAATCAAATCAAGAACTCAACCCCTTTTACAATAGCTTCAAAAAAAAAATACTTATGAATATGTCTAACCAAGGAGTCGAAAGATCTCTACAAGGAAAACTACAAAACACTAAACACTGCTGAAAGAAATCATAGATGACATGAACAAATGGAAAAAACATCCCATGCTCATGGATGGATAGATTCAATAATGTGAAAATGACCATATTGCCAAAGCTATCTACAAATTCAATGCAATCCCCATCAAAATACCACCATCATTCTTCACAGAATCAGAAAAAAAATTCTAAAATTCAAATGGAACCAAAAAATAGTCCACATAGTCAAAGCAAGACTACACAAAAAGAACAAATCTGGAGGCATCACACTGCCTGATTTCAAACTATACTATAACGCCATAGTCACAAAAACAGCATGGTACCTGTACAAAAATAGGCACATAGACAAATGTAACAGAACAGAGAACCCAGAAATAAACCCAAATACTTACAGCCAACTGATCTTCAACGAAGCAAACAAAAACATAAAGTGAGGAAAGGACATTCTTTTTAACAAGTGGTGCTCGGATAATTGGCTAGCCACATGTAAGAGAATGAAACTGGATTCTCATGTCTTACCTTATACAAAAATCAACTCAAGATGGATTAAGGACATAAACCTAAGACTTGAAACTATAAAAATTCTAGAAGATAACATTGGAGAAACCCTTCTAGACATTGGCTTAGGAAAGCATTTCATGACCAAGGACCCCAAAGCAAATGCAATAAAAACATAGATAAATAGCTGGGACCTAATTAAATTAAAGAGCTTTTGCAAGGCAAAGGAACAGTCAGCAGAGTAAACAGACAACCCACAGAGTGGGAGAAAATCTTCACAGTCTATACATCTGACAAAGGGCTAATGTTCAGAATCTACAACAAATTCAAACAAATCAGTAAGAAAAAAAATCCCATCAAAAAGTGGGCTAAGGACATAAATAGACAATTCTCAAAAGAAGATATACAAATAGAAAACAAAAATATGAAAAAACATGCTCAATATCACTAAGGATCAGGGAAATGCAAATCAAAACCACAATGCAATACCACCTTACTCCTGCAAGAATGGCCATAATCAAAAAACAGTATATGCTGGCGTGGATGCATTGAACAGGGGACACTTCTATACTGCTGGTGGGAATGTAAACTAGTACAGCCACTACAGAAAACAATGTTCAGATTCCTTAAAGAACTAAAAGCAGAACTACCATTTGATCCAGCAATCCCACTACTTGGTATCTACCTAGAGGAAAATCAGTCATTATTCAAAAAAGATACTTGCACACACGTTTATAGCAGCACAATTCACAGTTGCAAAATCATGGAAACAACCCAAATGCCCATCAATCAACGAGTGGATAAATACACTGTGAGATATATATATATGTATATATATATATATGTATATATTATATATACTTCTTTATGATGATATATTTATATATTTGTTGGAATACTACTCAGCCATAAAAAAGGAATGAAAAAACAGCATTTGCAGTGACCTGGATGAGATTGGAGACTATTTTTCTAAGTAAAGTAACTCAGGAATGGAAAACCAAACATCGTGTGTTCTCACTGATATGTGGGAGTTAAGCTATGAGGACGCAAAGGCATAAGAATGATGCAATTGACTTTGGGGACTTGTGGGGAAGAGTGGGAAGGGGGCAAGGGCCAGAAGACTACAAATACGGTGCAGTGTATACTGCTAGGGTGATGGGGACACCAAAATCTGACAAATCACCACTAAAGAACTTACTCACGTAACCAAATACCACCTGTACCCCAATAACTTATGGAAAAATCCTTTTTAAAAAGTCAAAAAACAACGGATGCTTATGAGGTTGTGGAGAAAAAGGAATGCTTTTACACTGTTCCGTGGGAGTGCAAATCAGTTCAACCATTATGGAAGACAGCATGGCGATTCCTCAAAGACCTAGAGGCAGAAGTACTATTTGACCCAGCAATCCCATTACTGGGTATATACTCAGTGGAATATAAATCATTCTATAATAAAGATACATGCACGTGTATGTTCATTGCAGCATTATTCACAATAGCAACGACATGCAATCAACCTAAATGCCCATCAATGATAGACTAAAGAAAATGTGGGGCCGGGCACGGTGGCTCATGCCTGTAATCCTAGCACTTTGGGAAGCTGAGGCGAATGGATTGCCTGAGCTCAGGAGTTTGAGACCAGCCTGGGCAACACGGTGAAACCCCATCTCCACTAAAATACAAAAAAAATTAGCTGGGCGTGGTGGCGGGCACCTGTAGTCCCAGCTATTCAGGAGGCTGAGGCAGGAGAATTGCTTGAACCCGGGAGGCGGAGGTTGCAGTGAGCCAAGATCGCGCCACTCCACTCCAGCCGGGGAGAACCATGGAATACAATGCAGCCATAAAAATGAAGAAGGTCATGTCCTTCATAGGGATGTGGATGAAGTTGGAAGCTATTTTCCTCAGCAAATTAACCACAGGAACAGAAAACCAAAGTTCTCTCTTGTGAGTGGGAGCTGAATGATGTGATCACATGGACACATGATGGGGAAAAACACACACCAGGGCCTGTCAAGAGTGTGGGAGGTGGGAGGAGGGAGAGTATCAGGAAGAATAGCTAATGGATGTTTGACTTAATACCTAGGTGATGGGATGTTCTGTGCAGTAAACCAGCATGGCACATCACACGTTTACCTATGTAACAAAACTGCACGTCCTGCACATGTACCCCTGAACCTACAATAAACGTTGGAAATTAAAAAAAAAAGTAAAAACACTTAGATTAATAACAAACAATAAAGCAAATTTCAAATAAAAATAATGAAAATAAAGGGAGAAGTTTCAAATTGGAGCTTTCTTTATTATTATTATTATTATACTTTAAGTTTTAGGGTACATGTGCACAATGTGCAGGTTTGTTACATATGTATACCTGTGCCATGTTGGTGTGCTGCACCCATTAACTCGTTATTTACATTACGTATTTCTCCTAATGCTATGCCACCCCACACCCCCACCCCACGACAGTCCCCTGTGTGTGATATTCCCCTTCCTGGGTCCATGTGTTCTCATTGTTCAGTTCCGACCTATGAGTGAGAACATGCGGTGTTTGGTTTTTTGTCCTTGCAATAGTTGGCTGAGAATGATGGTTTCCAGCTTCATCCATGTCCCTACAAAGGACATGAACTCATCATTTTTTATGGCTGCATAGTATTCCATGGTGTATATGTGCCACATTTTCTTAATCCAGTCTATCATTGTTGGACATTTGGGTTGGTTCCAAGTCTTTGCTATTGTGAATAGTGCCGCAATAAACATACGTGTGCATGTGTCTTTATAGCAGCATGATTTATAATCCTCTGGGTATATGCCCAGTAATGGGATGGCTGGGTCAAATGGTATTTCTAGTTCTAGATCCCTGAGGAATAGCCACACCGACTTCCACAATGGTTGAACTAGTTTACAGTCCCACCAACAGTGTAAAAGTGTTCCTATTTCTCCACATCCTCTCCAGCACCTGTTGTTTCCTGACTTTTTAATGATTGCCATTCTAACTGGTGTGAGATGGTATCTCATTGTGGTTTTGTTTTGCATTTCTCTCATGTCCAGTGATGATGAGCATTTTTTTCATGTGTTTTTTGGCTGCATAAATGTCTTCTTTTGAGAAGTGTCTGTTCATATCCTTCGCCCACTTTTTGATGGGGTTGTTTGTTTTTTTCTTGTAAATTTGATTGAGTTCATTGTAGATTCTGGATATTAGCCCTTTGTCAGATGAGTAGGTTGCAAAAATTTTCTCCCATTCTGTAGGTTGCCTGTTCACTCTGATGGTAGTTTCTTTTGCTGTGCAGAAGCTCTTTAGTTTAATTAGATCCCATTTGTCAATTTTGGCTTTTGTTGCCATTGCTTTTGGTGTTTTAGACATGAAGTCCTTGCCCATGCCTATGTCCTGAATGGTACTGCCGAGGTTTTCTTCTAGGGTTTTTATGGTTTTAGGTCTAACATGTAAGTCTTTAATCCATCTTGAATTAATTTTTGTGTAAGGTGTAAGGAAGGGATCCAGTTTCAGCTTTCTACATATGGCTAGCCAGTTTTCCCAGCACCGTTTATTATATAGGGAATCCTTTCCCCATTGCTTGTTTTTGTCAGGTTTGTCAAAGATCAGATAGTTGCAGATATGCGGCATTATTTCTGAGGGCTCTGTTCTGTTCCATTGGTCTATATCTCTGTTTTGGTACCAGTACCATGCTGTTTTGGTTACTGTAGCCTTGTAGTATAGTTTGAAGTCAGGTCGCGTGATGCCTCCAGCTTTGTTCTTTTGGCTTAGGATTGACTTGGCAATGCAGGCTCTTTTTTGGTTTCTAATTGGAACTTTCTAAATACATTATGTGCTGCTATTAACAGAATACCATAGACTGGGTAATTTATGATGAACCAAAATATATTGGCTCATGATTCTGAAGGCTGGGAAGTCTAATGTTGAGAGCCCTGCATCTAGCAAGAGCTTTCTTACATCATCATAACATTTTGGAAGGGCAAAAAGATGGCAAGAGAGCAAGAGGGAGTCAAACTTGTCCATTTATAAGAAACACTTTCCCATGATAACAGCATTAATTTATTCTCAAAGGTGGTACCCCATGAACCAAATTCTTCCATTAGACTTCACCTCTCAACACTGCCACATTGGGTATCAAGTTTTCAATACATGAACTTTGGGGAACACATTCAACCTATAGCAAGAACTTCAAAGTTTCTTTGGGAAATAGAAATTACCTGCAGAAAGTTGTCTTTTGTTACCTGTTAGAAGGCATTAACACACTGCTGTTATATTTACATGACTGGCATGATGGTGTTTTCAAGCTGTGTTGCCACCTGATGTGCACCAGGAAATCTTGTTTTGCAAGCTTAGTTGGGTAACAGAAATTTTCGGAGTAAGATTTAGAATATCTTTTTAATTTTATGCTTGAGATTAATTTTGAATAAACTCAGTGTAGTTTTCTGAACTTTTTCAAACACTCTAGAAGTAAAATAAAAAAAATCTCTAGAGGGTAAACTTTCCAATTTATTGGTCTAAGAAAAAAATTGTAGTGCAAGGCTTAGAGAAGTTGTTGGCAGGCCTTTTTGATTATCTGTGATTATCTGCCCAAAAGAAAATTCTCATATTCTTCATTGATTGTGGGGC